>NC_000013.11:73256590-73408106 GCF_000001405.40 Homo sapiens
GAAATCTCGCTCTGTCACTCAGGATAGAGTGCTGTGGTGTGATCTTAGCTCACTGCAACCTCCGCCTCCTGGGTTCAAGCGATTCTCATGCAGCCTCCCGAGTAGCTAGGATTACGTGGACGTGCCAGAACACCCGGCTAATTTTTTAGTAGAGACAGGGTTTCACCAGTTTGACCAGGTTGGTCTCCAACTCCTGACCTCAAATGATCCACCTGCCTCAGCTTCCCAAAATGTTGGGATTACAGGTGTGAGCCACTGTACCTGGCCAAATCTTGTTATTTCTTATACTGAGAATTCAGTTCTCTAGGTAAGTCCTGCCTTCCATCAAGGCATAATTTTAAGACCTCAGTTTACACCCAGTGTTTCATGTAGGTATATTCCCAAGACTCTTTTTCCCCCTTTGAAGAACTCTAGCATCTGTTGTCAGTCCTCTGTGTCAACTCACCTCTCATCTCTCCTTCCAAATTACATGAATTTAAATACAAGGAAGCCATAGTCTCTTTGAAGAAACCTTTTGATAGTCTTACTGTTTTAAATGCCTTGTCTCATTTCATTTGAAAATATTTTAATATTATGCCTTATCTTACATAAAAAATCCCCACAAAAATGATGAAAGCTATATATGTTGTCAAATTTAATACAAATGTATATAAGTGAGAGCCAAAATATCAGATCAGCTTTTACAAAAATTGTTTGTCATGTATTATTTCAAAAAGTTTTACCACATTGTTGCATCAAACTTTGTTCCTTTTTTTCCCCTCTGGTGATTTGAAGTTATACATTCCATTTCTATCTTTTATGGTTAGGGTCAACTTAAAATATATATGTAAACCTAGTTTTTAGTCAACATTAAGAATGAAGAAGTATGAATTTTCCCTGAGCTAAATGAGAAATTTAACACACCTCATCAATTTCCATATATTGTTGAAACAATTTGAAATTTTAGTTCCAGATTACTATTATTTTATATAACACACTTTCATTTTTTCTTTTCTTCTTCTTCTTTTTTTTTTTTTTTACATTGAAACAGAGTCTCTCTCTGTCGCCCAGGCTGGAGTGCAGTGGTGCGATCTTGACTCACTGTAACCTCCCCCTCCTGGGTTCAAGCGATTCTCGTGCATCAGCCTCCCGAGTAGATGGGATTACAGGCATGTGCCACCAGGTCTGGCTAATTTTTGTGTTTTTAGAGATGGAGTTTCACCATGTTGGCCAGGCTGGTCTTCAACCGCCGACCTCAGGAGATCCACCCGCCTCAGCCTCCCAAGTGCTGGGATTGCAGTGAGCCAGAGCTTGCAGTGAGCCGAGATAGTGCCAGTGCACTCCAGCCTGGGTGACAGAGTGAGATCCCGTCTAAAAAAAAAAAACCCAAAACAAACAAATAAAAACCTCCTCAATTTTATGTGTGCCTTGGGCACCAAATGCATGCCAGGGCAGCCAGTTTCCTCTACGTTGGCCAACCCTGCCTTCGATTCAGAAATGACAAACTATGGCTGATGACAGGTCCTCCTTACTCTTCATGAATGTTGACACTGGGTCTGAAGCTTGAACAGGTCTTGAAAGTGTTCTATTGATTTCTGTGGTCCGTCCTTGCCTGGAGGCCTCATCTGATCCAGAGGGTCTTGGTCTGGGTCTGGGTGGAAGGCAGACCCAGTGGGCTTCTCCTCTGCTAGGTGGCTGGTGTGCTGACACTCACCATCAACTGTGCTGTTTGTTGGTAAAACAGCAAAACTCTAGTTTTCCCTTGGATTATTACAGGAGAAATAGGAAGTGACATTCATGTGCTTAGGAAACCTGCTAGTTTTAGGTTTGTGTCTTGAGCTGGCACTTGTATTTACCTTTCTATGCTTTTCTCCCCAACACTTCCCATATCTGTTGATTTTGTTTTCTGCAAAAGACATGGTAGGGTAAATAAAAAAAAACGTGAGACTCGTCTCCAGGAACCTATGTCAGAACAGTTAGGAGCTCACAAGATAGCTGGGGAGAGCTGATGACCACACAGGAAGCATCACACAGTGGAAGGAAGCCAAGAAGCGGAAAAGCTGAGGTCAAATTCCCACTCCATCGTAAGTTGTGTGAACTTGGATAAGTCCCTTAATTTTTCAGAGTCATATTTCTGATTTCTTCTGACAAAACAGGTTTTTACTAAGGGCCACACAGTTTGGCAGCAAGGAAGACAGAAAATGAAAAGAAACAACTACCCACTGACTAGGGAAGCAAGTCAAGCACACCAAATAATGTAAGAACACTGGTGTCCTGCGTGACCAGCGACCACTCTGTTGCACTCCCATGAGGTCAGGGAATGACAGAAGATAGAGGGAGAGGAGGGATGTTATTTAACTTTCAGGCAGTGAGCCCCCAAATACACTGTTTAATACTTGTTTTGATCTTTGATTTCAGTTTTAACATAGCAGATGGGACACACATTTGGCAAGAGTGAGAAAGGAAAGTTCTGGAACAGGTGGGGCAGCTGGCCAGCATTCAGTAGCCACACTCATCCCCAAACAGTGTATGCGACATTTAGTCACTGAGGCTATGAACATTCTGCTATCAGATAGGATGTGTTCCCATCTCACACGGTGTCTTCCATATGTCTCAAAATGTTGACAACCTTAAGAAACCACGAAAAGAGCAAATAAAAAGTGAGGAAGAGAGAGATTACCCAGGACAAACAAAGGGATGGAGCCCAGCTGTTCTCCAGCCTCCCTGAGGACAAAGGGTTCCTCCTGTGAACTGTCCGAGCCCATGATCTTATTCTGCTTAGCACCTCCTACCGTAGAGTGTGCTTGTTTGTATACGGAGTTAATGTTCCCTACTGAACCATAATCATCTGGAGCCCGCAGCCTGCCTCTTTCATCTTTGAGTCCCCTTAAGATGAGCCTTGTACTTAGTAGGAACTCAGTGACTGTGTGTTGAAAGCACAGAGGGCCTGGAAACCGCAGTGGCAGGCATATAAATCACATAGAATTAAGGTTCATTTTCTTGAGGGTTGTTGAATGACGGAATAATTTACTGAGGGAATGTTATCTCCTCTAGAGGTCTTAAAAAAATCTCCTCATCAATTTGAAATGATTTAAATATGATCTTGCGTGTGGCCAGAGGAAGTGAGCAGCTGAGCTCTCAGGATTCTGTCCAGAGCCCAGAGCTCTGATCTGTGATGAAAAACATCAGCTTCGACTTCTCTCTCTTTCATTCTTTCTCTTCCTCCACTTCCCGGTCAACCATGTTTGAATCCAACTGACAGTGATAAATGAACAGTAGGATTCTTGCATTTTGTACTTTCATGAAAGTCTCTGAGTACCTGAAAGAGAGATCTGGGCTTGGGGTTATTCACCAGAACAGGGTCCAGCCGTTATCTGAGGCGGTGGCAGGTCTCTGTTTCTTCTGCTATGATGACTGGGCACTTAGGAGCAAATCAGATGGCAGCACTGCCTCCTTCATCTGGCCTGAAAAAAACTGAGGCTGTTCAAAATGTGAATGTTTTTTGGATATGCGGTTTTCTGGAAATCTTCCAAATAGGGACTCTAACCTTAGCATGAATGTTTTTTGTTTTTTGTTTTTAAAGGCATCTGAGATTTTGCCAATAATTCTTGGACATAGCCCTTCATGCCACCCATCATATGCAGAGGCCAGGGGGAAGCTTTCCCCCTTTTCTGCTCTGAATCCATGGCACTCAGTGAAAATAAAGGGATTTTTGACAAGGGAATTACATTCTCCCATTTGACAGTGAAATCGTGTTTCTTTACTTAAAAGGAACTTTGCCTCTGAGGTCTAATTTTCAAACAGTTTTGGAATGAGATGTTTAGGACTATTAAAAATGCATCTTTATTTTTGATTTCTCATTTTGTTTGGGCTCCAGAGGTTCCTAGTTTGCTTATTATGATTAGCTTTCATGAGTGTCAGTATTTTATTTTGGTGTGAAGATGGGAAGCTGGAAAACACACTGGATTTAAAATTTTCTTGTTTCCCCTTCATGTTGTGGAAATTCTCTTCCCTTCAGAGCTAATTTGTTCAAACTCAAATACTTAAAAATCACAGCAGCCAAACAAAAGGACATGGCGAAAAGAAAAGAAGGTAGCCTGGGCCAGTAGTGTCACTCGGTGTGGACTTCTGAGGTGTTGAACAGGAACTTCTGTTTCTGTTTTCCTCTTTTCTCTCCTCCTTTCTCTTCAGAGAGGGGATCTGAAGTAGCTGGTGTGACCAGTTTCATGAAGCCTGCTTCAATAGCTGGCCTGAAGTAGTTTCTTAGAATTTCCTTCTGAAAAATGATGGTAAAGGGTGAAGAACTGTTGGTATTTTGATGAGACCAGGTTCTTTATGAAAGAAAAGGGAATGAGGGTTCAACATTGAACTAAAATGTATTGAGCCCTCCCTCTGGGTCAGGCACTAGTATTGGAAGCTGGGAGTGGCATCGGCATCTCACTACTTGTCCTATAACTCCAGGTCTCCTAGGGAGAAGAGGCAGTGAGCATGCTGGGGGTATGTGTCTGGATCGCAATAGGCCACTCAGGGGCAGTCATGTTGGGTTACTGAAGGGCAGGTTATTCAACTCTGCATATTCTGGGAGTTTTAATTGTATAGACCTGTTCTCCAGAATGGCATCACTAGCCCCATGTGGCTGTTGAGCATTTGAAATGTCGCTGGTCCGAACTGAAATGTGCTGTGAGTGTAAAATACGTATCCTGATGTCTAAGACTTAGTATACATAAAGGAAGTAAAATAGCTTGATATTTTCCGTTAATTACATGTTGAACGATAATATTTTGGATATTTTGGATGTAATATAATAAACTACTAAACTTCACCTGTTTCTTGTACTTCTTAAAATGGGGCTACTAGATAATGTAAAACTACACAGGCAGGATTGTCTTTAGCTCAAGAGGTTGCTTCCTCACCCAGGACCTCACATCTGCAAAGTTACATATATGGCTTACATTATATTTCTACCGGATGGCACTGGTCTTGGGCATGGCATTGGAAAGAAATGGGGACAATTCTCCTCATTAGATTTTCTCTTTCACTCTATTTCTTGTAAGTGCTAGAACTGTGAATTTTGGCAATGATATGTTGCTTTGAACGATGCACATGGCCTTCTCCATGTGCTTCTTGTTTTTCTAACAAGATTATAAGTATCTTGAGTTCCTTTAAGTCGTAGAGTCAACAAACCCACAACGAGTGATAATTGTTGTGTCAGGTATGGTGCTGGGTTCTGGGATTGCAAAATTGAGTAAGACCTGGCCGTTGCCCTAGGAACTGCTATCTAGAGATAAGGCAGGTAAGTATGCAGCTGCCAGAATTAAATGCAAGCCTGGGGGCTCCGGCCTTCTCATCATGGGAAGAGGAATCCAGAAGGATGGGGTCTGAGTCACCTATTTCTATAATATCCCCAGCTCTACTAAATCATTTTTATACGTAAGTTGTTTTTATCACACAAGTACAGTCATGCATGGCTGAACAATGGGGACATGTTCTGAGAAATGCATTGTCAGGCAATTTCATCATCCTGTGCACATCATAGAATGTGCTCACACAAGCCTAGATAGTGTGGCCTACTTCACACTCATGCTCTATGGCACAGCCTATTGCTCCTAGGCTATAAAACTGTATAGCATGTTACTGTACTGAATTTGGTAGGCAACTATAACATAATGGTAAGTAGTTGTGTATCTAACATATCTAAACATAGAAAAAGTACAGTAAAAACATAGTATAAAAGATAATAAATGGCAGATGTATTAGTCCGTTCTTGCATTGCTAGAAAGAACTACATGAGCCTGGGTAATTTATAAAGAAAAGAGGTTTAACTGGCTCACGGTTCCACATGTGTTCAGGAAGCATGGCTGGAGAGGACTCGGGAGACTTACAATCATGGCGGAAAGCAAAGGGGAAGCAGACATGACCTACATGCTGGAGCAGGAGGAAGAGAGAGAGCAAGGCAGGAGGTGCCACACACTTTCGAACAACCAGATCTCGTGAGAACTCGCTCACTATCATGAGAACAGCAAGGGGGAAATCTGCCCCCATGATCCATTCGTCTCCCACTATGCCCCACGTCCAACACTGGGGATTAAAATGTGACATGAGATTTAGGTGGGGACACAAATCCAAACCATATCAGTACACCTGTATACGGCATTTCTGGGTGAATCAGTGAATGAGTGGTGAGTGAATGTAAAGGCCTAGGATATTACTGTAAACTACTGTGGACTTTATTTTTATTTGTTAGTTTATTTTTGAGACTTTATAGCCTAGGTTGGAGTGCAGTGACACGATCATAGCTGACTGCAGCCTCAAACTCTGGGCTCAAGTGATCCCACCCCTCAGCCTCCAAGTAGTTAGGAATATAGGCATGTGCCACCACGTCTGGCTAATTTTTAAATTTTTTGTAGAGACAAGTCTTGCTATGTTGCCCAGGTTGGTCTGAAACTCCTGGCCTCAAGTGTCCTCCCACCTTGGCTTTCCAAAGTGCTAAGATTACAGGTGTGAGTCACTGTGACTGGCCCTACTGTGGACTTTATAAACACTATGAACTTAGGCTACATTAAATTTGTAGCAAATATTTTTTCTTCAATAATACATTAAATGTTGCTCACTGTAACTTTTTTACTTTATAAACTTTATTTTTTTAACTTTTTGACTTTTTTGTAAGCGCAGCTTAAAACATAAACAGATTGTCAAACTATGAAAATTTTTTTCTTTATATCCTTATTCTATAAGTATTTTCCTATTTTTAAAGCTTTTTATCTATTTTCTGCCCATTTTTGTTGTTGTTGTTGTTGTTGTTGTTAAAAGCTAAGACAAACACACGCATCAGCCTAGGCTGACGTCACGATTGATGATGTCAGGATCATTAATACCACTGTCTTCCACTTCCACATCTTGCCTCTAAAAACTGGAAGGTTTCAGGGGCAATAACATGCATGAGGCTGTCATCTCTTATGATGACAATGTCTTCTTCTGGAATACCTCCTGAAGGGCCTGCCCAAGGCTATTTTATAGGTAACTATTTTTTTTTATAAATAGGAGGAACACACTCTAAAATAATGATAAGAAGTATGGTATAGTGAATACATAAACCGATAACATAGTCCTTTGTTATCACTATGAAGTATTATATGCTGTACATAATTGCCTGTGCTATTCTTTTATATGACTGGCAGCACAGTAGGCTTGTTCACATCAGCATCATCACAAACATGTGAGTAATGTGTTGTACCACGATGTTAAGATGGCTACATCACTGGGTGGTAGAACTTTTTCAGCTCCATTTTAATCTTGTGGAAACACCATCGTATATGTGTTTCTTGGTGATTGTATCGTCATTATGCAGCACTTGACTGTAAAAGATAATCATTGTAAAAAAAAAAAGAAAATACAGATAAAGCAGAAAACACAGACCTCACAGTTGGCATGGTTAGCATTTGAATATAATCCTTTCCAGTAATAAGTTTGTCAAGTGTCAGAGCTGAAACTCAGATTAGGCATAGCAGAAAAGAGAATCTGTGGCTTTTCAAAGGCTGGATCTAGAAAATCAAACAATGATCAGCTCTCTTTCTCTCTCTCTCCATCTTTTATCTGTGCTTTCATCTGTTCTGGCTTCATTCCCAGACTGACTTTCTGCTCATTCTGGAAAGATGGACCCTGACAGTTCAGGCTTATGTGATCCTTTGTGCCTAAAATCTTAGTAGAGAAGACAGAGAGAGACAGGGAGAGACAGAAACGGAGCGAGAACCACTGGCTCCATTATTGTGTTCAAAAGGGTTAATCTACTTGGTCCACCCAACAAAATCCATGGATTAAGAAAGGGAAAGACTGGTTTCCCATAGACAGAAGCAGAAAAGAAGATATATCTGTTCACCTGCCCACCTACTTACTAACCTGCTTATTTATCTGGCATAATAAACTATTTGGGCGGGATGAGGGAGATAGGAAAGTGCCTACTACTTCTTAGCTTAATAATGAAGCCTCATTTTACTGAAAGGGGTAAGACAAAAGCCAGGTTTATAGGAGAGTTATCCTTAACTTAGTGTGATCTTAGACCACGCTTTTTCCGAGAACAGCATTATGGCTTCTGTAGCTGAGGTGTGCTTATCTCTTCTTTGTTGACATTTCTAGAAAGGAAATCAGTTGCAGCTATCTCTGGTGTGGACACTGAACCACATTTGGAGTCTTCACATTCATTCTTGCTCACAATCTGAGGACCCAAATTCCCTACTTTAGCAAAAGAGAGCTATCTGACTTTCTAGTCAGGGCTGGAGGTGCTGCTAGATTTTGCTAGATGCAGGAAGGACTTCAGTGTGGAAGCTTCTGTTCCTGTTGGAGAAGGACAGTATTGCATTTTCCAAGGGAAGGATTGCAGTTGGGGGCACAGGACAGAGACTTAAGGAATGGGACACAATTGGGTGTAGGGGTGGGGAATCTGGAAATAGACCATCCAGGAGGAAGAGAGCATTTTTAGAGGGCACTCTTGTTGCAAAGCCCTAAGTCTGATAGGGCCTTCTGTTGTGGTATAAGGAACAATGATGTTAGATAGCATTCTTATTTTTGTTCCTCGAGCGCTACATCCTAAAGTTTCGATATGGACTTGACACTGCAGTAGCTATAACATTACCTGGAGAAGCAAGGTGTGGAAAAGAGAGGGCTTTATTCTCCTTGGGGGATCTGATGGCAAAAGGGTGTTAGCTCTAAGTGGAAAATTGAGAGACCTATGTGGCAGCAATGGCTATAAAGACTCTCTGGGTATGAGAGACAATAAGAGTGAATTCATTAATCTCTCTTTTCTGCTGAAAGGGTTAGTGAGCTCTACGTCTGGACTGAAAAAAGGGGCCCTGACCTTTCCATATGTACAATATATGTCACCTGAAAATGTCGGGATCTCCCCTGTAGATCCCTTGCACTTGGATTTATTTCATGCTTTCATAATAACTGGCCAGTTTCTAGCAGAGAGGCGCTATGGTGGCAAATACTGAAACTGAGTACCCTGAATGGCAATAGATTTCAGAGCCTATTCAGGGTGCTCCAAAAGTTGACTGCATGGCATCTTGAAAATATATCTCTCTTGGTCTACTCCAGGATTCTTCTGGCTCCTGATAAAATAAAGACAACATTTTTAGACTGCATAAAGGTCAAATAACAAGTGTGCATATTGAATAAGGATCAACCTTTGCCTCTATGCTTGATATACCACCTCTTAATCTGATCATGTAGAACATGGTTCTTAGACTAACATAGGACATGATAAAACTTGATTTACAGAACAATGTACTTTGTAAAATAGATGATTGCAAAACACTTTAAATGTATAAAGTATTATATGGAAGCTTAATGATTATGGCAATTATTTTACAACTTAATTGTGGGAAAATGAAAGGAATAGAGTAGTTTAATGAATTCAAAATTTTATCAGACTGTGTACTATGAGGAAGATAAAAAGGAGAGTTTGCAGCTTAACGTTACCTTCTGTGAATGTTAAACCTGCAATCAGACTTCTCAGCATTTTTTAAACCAGAGACTTAGTGTCCTTAGAGTTACAACATGATTTTGATTATGCAGATAATTAGCTTTAAGTAAATTATATTTTACATTTCATGAGAATAATATTTAAACAACAAGCCGGGCACAGTGGCTCACGCCTGTAATCCCAGCACTCTGGGAGGCCAAGGTGGACAAATCGCCTGAAATCAGGAATTCAAGACAAGCCTGGCCAACATGGTGAAACCTCTTCTGTACCAAAAATACAAAAATTAGCCAGATGTGGTGGCACACACCTATAATCCCAGCTACTCGGGAGGCTGAGACAGGAGAATTGCTAGAACCTGGGAGGTGGAGGTTGCTGTGAGCCAAGATCGCACCACTGCAGTCTAGCCTGGACAACAGAGTGAGACTCCATCTCAAAATAAGTAAATAAGTAAATAAATAAATATAAAATAAACTACAAATGTTATGGCGTGGCACTATCACAGCAGAGCTGATGAAATACGTGTGCCTAAGTGAAGTAGAGAAGACATGTGCATTTGGGAAGTGACTCTTTCCACAAGTAGAAGCTCGTGGAGAGGCAGCTTATATCCAAACCCAGCCTTCAGCACAGCTGAAATTGGGTGAGTTTCCTTTGTTAAAGTTTGTATATTGAAGTAATAAAGTGATATAATCCTGGGCTTTGGAGTGGATTTACTAAAGGCAATAATGCATGCTGTACATTTTACATTGAGGATTTCAAAACACTGGTTATTTGTTCTATCATTGACTGTCCTTTCTGGTCCCGAGAGCTGTATAAAGTGAGCTGAGTGCAAATGGATGTTTGAATTTTATTATATTTGGCTACCAAGTCAATTAAAGAAATCGCTTACCCTGCCCATTCACTACAAGTGCTGTTGGCCTTGGGATTTTTATACCTTTGGTCCTTGGCTACAATAGTTTCTACATAATAAACTGAGATTAAAGTTGTTCCCTGTCATGAGATGAATAATATTTAACATAGCTATTCAACGTATCCAACTCATAACCTTTGACCAAATCACTGGAATAATTTAATTTTTTAAAAACCAGATTTCATTCTGCTTTGAAGCAAATTGATTCACCACCTCAAACTAAAGGTTTGAAATGAGCATTTAGGCATAAGTGGCTTTCCTAACCCACAAGGGAGGTCAATTCCCAAAGAATCTTTCATTTTTGCAGTTCGGATTTACTTTCTCACAATCATTTTGCAACCTATCTGCACAGAGTTTATACCTTTGAGGTATAATCCCAAGTAATTTATCACTTTTTCTATACACTAAAATTAAATAGCTTAATTCTCAGGGGATTAGCTGAGAAAACATTTGCTGTTTCGGCCAACCCTCTGTAATCTATATTTCTTCAAGTTGTTAAAATGTCAAATTGAAAGAGGGTCCAACAAAGCAACAATGAAGTTCAAAGAGAGTAAACCATATTCTCTCCAGTTACTGCAATTTTTTAATTGATCTCATTGATCCTGGAAAATAAATGCATATTGCTGTAAGTTTCAGAAACTCAAGAATATTTTAAGACAATCAACTTAGGAATAAATATATTACTAAAAAGACAATTTTACTGGTCAGGCAAAGAGCTGGCTCTTTCTGGAAAAAAAAAATGCTGTGCTTGGGTTTTCAGTATTCACACAGATCCTTGTTTGATGATTTCCAAACATACAAAATAATGTATCTGTTAGAAGTATGTTTGAAAAGTTAATATCTGTAGTTGATTAGCACAATTGAGGAATTAATGTATTCACTTTTTATTTATTCTGAATTATAATTGCTAATTGTTGTCGGTTAATCTAAGTAAGGCCTCGGGCCTTTATTGGAAGTGTCTGTCTTTGAAAGTTGTCTGCCTTGAGTTTCCTCAGCTACAATCAAGACTTGAGAAATTCAAACACACTTGTAAATCTAGACATCTATTAATGCCCATCAATAACCAGTAATCAAGGCCTGAATCTATTAGCAAAACAAATAAGCAGCCTTTGAAATGAAAAGATAAATATAAGAAATCATGAATATACTAATTGCCCTTTGATGTTACAGCTGTTAGACCAAATTTGGCCCCTAGCAATGGAGAGAGACACTCGTGTGTGTGTGTGTGTGCGTGCGTGTGTGTGTGTGTGTGTGTGTGTAGCTGTGCATGCGCACATGAACATGCATAGATATGTCCTCTATGTGGAATTCTGCCTTTTAAGTAGTTCTGAAAAAGAATTACAACAGGTTTACTTTTACATGGGATATTTGCATAGACACAGTCCTTTCCCACCCATATTTGAACAACCATATTTTTTCCTTATTCCTTCTTAGTCATTTCCTCCTCTTTTCCCTGATACTACCTTAAATACCCAGACATTTCCCTACATTGCCCATCTGCCCCCACAGGAGCCATTCTCCTCCCAGCATGGCTCTGCAGGTTTCACAAGGGCAGAATCTGGATGACAGCCAATGGCCCAACAGCTGTTACTGATGAGCAGTGTTGGAGTCATCATTAGTTGGGAGGACAAAATTGCTTTAGGGATGTCTTGTTGGGGACTGAGAAACAATGGCCGAGATGGCCAGCCTGGCCAGCCATCAGGAGGCTCTGTGCTTCCTTTCTCTTTGAGCAGATACCAGCCTTAAGCCAGCTGTATCTATAATGGGCTCAATTGCAAAATGCAGCAGACTCTTCAATTGCAGCTATGAAGTTGCAGGACACTGTACAGCAAGATTCAATTGCTTAAAAGTATGTATGCATTTATGATTTTACATGTACACAAAAATCCAGGAAGTAGCTACACCAAATTATTGACAGTGCTCTGGGACAGGTACCAAGGCAGGTGCTGAAGAAAAAGGCCAATCCTGTGTCGTCTCAGGACTTTATGGTATAGAAGGGAAGATGATTACAAGACCCTGTGGTGATAAGGCCAGTATGGAGGGATGTGCAGGCTGCCAAGGGAGCATTCCTGTCTGCTAGCCCAGGGCTCTTCCTCTTTGTTCATGGCTGTGTGATATGTACACAGTAGCACTTTACAAAGGTTCAGTGGGCCAAGATTGCAGGAAAGACTAATTTCCAGGAGCACCATCTGGGTTCAGGAAGACCAATCTAGAGGCGACCATAAGAGTCCAAGGGTTGAGGAGGATCTAGTCTGGATGAGCTTGGTGTAAGAGAAAAGAAAAGGTTAGATTCATATATTTTATAAACACACACACACACACATGATTTTCTTACAAACATAAATTCCTTTGAATCACAAACTGTGAAGCCCAGAGTGATTTTATGGGGATGTAAAGCTTATGCAATTTTGGACTCCTTTATAAGAAAAATGAATTAAAAATATAAAAATTTGTTATAAAAATGAATATTGTGAATGAGAAAAATATTTAATCTGGCAAATATCACAAACACCATAACAATTTAAAATATGACATTATTTTTATTAACTGCCTGAAATACTTCTGCAATACTTTTTTGGACATTTTTTGACTTCACATTTTAAAATCACTTTTTATAACAAGATTTTTATGGTATTATTTTCTATATAGATACTGGAAAGATAATTTAGTCTTTCCTCTAGCATTGTTAATCAAAATGTGTTTTTTGTTGTTTTTGTTATTTATAGGATGCATAAAAATTATAGCCTTACTGCTACAGAGTTGTACCTTACTGTTAAAACTGAATATTTATGTCCCCTGCCCAAATTCACATGTTAAATCCTCATGCCCAGTGTGATCGTATTTGAAATTGGAGCTTTTGGAAAGTGATTAAGTCATGAGAGTGGAACCCTCATGAATGGAATCAGTGACCTTATAAAAGAGGCCCCAGAGAGCTGTCTTGTCCCTTCTGCCATGTGAAGACACAGAGAGAAGTCAGCCATCCATGCACCAGGAGTGGGCCCCTATCAGACACTGTATTAGTTCATCCTCATGCTGCTATGAAGAAGTACCTGAGACTGGCTAATTTATAAACGAAAGAAATTTAATTGACACATAGTTCTGTATGGCTGGAGAGGCCTCAGGAAACTTACAATCATGGAGGAAGAGGAAGCAAACACGTCCTTCTTCACACAGCAGCAGGAAGGAGAAGTGCAGAGCAAAGGGGGAAAAAACCCCTTATAAAACCATCAGATCACATGAGAATGCACTATCATGAGAACAGCATGGGGGGACCTCCCCCATGATCTAATCACCTCCTACAAGGTCCCTCCCTCAACACATGGAGATTATAATTTGAATTACAATTCAAGATGAGATTTGGGTGGGGACACAGAGCCAGACCATATCAGACACCAAATCTGCCAGCATCTTGATCTTGGACTTTCCAGCCTTCAGAACGATGAGAAATAAATTTCTGTTGTTTATAAGCCACTCAGTCTATGGTGTTCTGTTATAGCAGCCTTAACTGACTATGACACCTACAAATACAGGAATTTTGATAAGTTCTTTTGTGCAATTCCTATCAATAAGGAAAAAAAAAGGTATGGTGAGTGGTTATTATATTTGTTCCTTATTAAAGCATATTCCTGAAAAAAGATCTCTCTCTTGAGTTGATGTTTAGAATGAAATCCTCTACTTAAAATTTTACATGTCTGAAGACTAGAAAAATTTCAAAGACTAGTTTTAGCTTTTTAAAATCTTTATTATTCCACACTAGTCACAAACTGAGAATAGATTAGGACACATTCCCTGTTTTGTTAGAGCAAAGCAACTTTTGGTCTTGCTCCTTTGTGGCATGACATGGAATGATGAGTAGCACAGTGGATGTTAGGGGCATTCTTTCTACACAAGGAGAGTAACGGCTGCAAACCAAGTAAATGTACCCGCCAAATCCAAACTAAATATATCCTCCCCTGTTCAACCTCCCCTGAGTGCAGGGTCTCAAGTGTGACACTATTGACATTTTGAACTGGGTAATTCTTTGTAGTGGGAGCCTGTTTTCTGCACTGTAAGGTGTTTAACAATATCCCTGGTCTCTAATCCCTAGATGTCAATAACATGCCCTTGGTGGTGACAAAGAAAAAGGTCTCCAGACATTGCCACATGTCTCCTGGGGGGAAATATCCCCCCATTGAGAACCACTACCTTGGACATATCCCTCAAAATGCCTGTGGCCACTCCAACATAATCTATCAAGAGGGCACTATGACATTGCAGAGTTGCAGTGGAAAGATGACAGCAGTCTTTCTTCATTGCATTAAAAATATTTTATATTTTACAATTCAGAAATTTCATAAAAATACGTCAACACATTGCTGGGTGCCTCCCAGGGCCTTGACAGAGGCCTGCGAAAGTGAAGGGTAAATATGCCTTTGGGGAAAAAACCTGTCAACACAATGACAATGGTGTGACATTTGTAGTCAGTGCCATGGTCCAGGACTGGGTAATTCTTGCCTTGAAAGAAACAAGTTTT
This sequence comes from Homo sapiens, assembly GCF_000001405.40. Lineage (NCBI taxonomy): Eukaryota > Metazoa > Chordata > Mammalia > Primates > Hominidae > Homo > Homo sapiens. The sequence continues at coordinate 73,271,468 of NC_000013.11, forward strand.
CATGCATATCCATCATTTTGTTGAATGGGTCATCTGCATATTTAAAATCTTGACTCCATCCTCTCCCATGGTTTCCAGAGGGCCGAGTGTACATGGTCATATTTTCTGTTCTGAGGTTCAAATAGCACATCCTTTTCTTTTTAGTTCAGCTGTGATAAGTTTGAGAGTTTCCAAATGAGTGTTTAATAATAAAGTGAAGAAAATAAATAAACCCAGCACACACAAAGCATAGTGAAGTGTAATCAAGTATCTATGTAGAGGTTTATGATTATAACAATTAAGATGCAGCCATGAATTGACTTAGCTGGCTCTGCTGAACCCCAATTACTTTCTGTTGTCTCAAGCCTATCTAGTGAAAGCCATCCCAAAATATCTCCTTTAGGCTTTAGACAGTCCTAGCTTTCCTATTACTTTGGTCCTTTTCTTTTCTTTTCCTTTTTAAAAAATATGAGACAGGATCTCACTCTGTCATCCAAGCTGGAGTGCAGTGGTACAATCTTAGCTCACTCACTGTAACCTGGAACTCCTGGGCTCAAGTGATCCTCTTGCCTCAACCTCCTGAGTAGCTAGGACGACTACAGGCACTATATTGACCAGACTGGTCTCAAACTCCTGGCCTCAAGCAATCTTCCTGCCTCAGTTTCCCAAAGCTCTGGGATTACTTGTTTGACCACCTGTGCCAGGCCTCCTTTGTTCCCTTTCTTATGAGCAAGGGTGAAACTTTCTAAAAATAAATTTATTTCTTATTTTTAAAGTTATCTCTTACAGGAAGAAAAGGGTCCAACTTTCACTGAATTCTAAGCCTAGTTAGAAAAAAAGTATAAATTGGTTTATGGGTCTAGATTTCTTTCTTGCTCTCCTTGTGAGAACAAAAATGCTTACTCTGATAACTGCTCATAGCACTAACATAGGATAGTGCAAACCCAGTGGAAAATTCCTTCCTCTTCTGAAGGGGAATGTTATCCATTTTCATTTTGTGTTATTCCTTATTCCTGAAAAATGCCTCCTCCACATCTCCGTCTACATTACCCTCATCCTCATCACCAAGGTTCAAAAAGCAGACACTATGGAATGTCTCTCATGAGTGAACTTAGCAGGTCCTGAGCTCACACGCAATTGGTTCATTCAGCAAAAATGTATTGAGTGTATACTATGTAATAGGCCCTAGAAATATACCTGTGAAAAAAACTGACAAATTTCCCTCCCTTCATGGGTTTTATATTATAGTTGATTTATGTAATATTTATTAAGGTGAATTTATAAGAATATCTTATAATAATTTTAAGTGTCTTTGTGTTTTACACCACATAATAATTTTTTTGTTTGGGAGCATAAACTGTTCCCTACATAATTTCTGAATACAGGAGGCACTGAATCAGTCCTCGTAAATCTCTGTAAGTTCTTTCTTCTCTATTTTAGCCAGTCTGCATTGGAGACAATTATCCTTTTCTTCTTGAGATGGAGCTCATCTTTGCTCAAGAGGTCTTCATCCTCAAAGATCATACCATCTCTAAGGAATTTTAAGTGTTCTGTGGGATACTACTGAAGAGACACATGTTCATTTCCACAATGCACCTGTTCTTATGGTGGCCTTCCTTTCCACTCAACTCAGTCAAGAGCACTACCTAAGCACTATCCTTCTCTGCTCCTTCAGAATAGCAAAAATAGCTTGTATATACTAAGGGCTTATCAAGAGCCCCAAAATGTCCTGTACATTTTTATATGCATTATCTTGTTTCATCCATACAGCAGTCCTGTAAAGTAGGCAGAAGGGAAAACTGAGGCTTAGAGAGATGAAGGCACTTGCCCAAGGCCACCCAGTTAGGAAATAATAGAGCCAAGATGCAAGCCCAGCAATCTAACTCCAGAATCTAGAGGCTTGACTTTCATTATGAACACTGTTTTGTGTAGAACTTCTGTGTGAGTTGAGTTCGTGTGAATGCAAAGCAGGTTCTGGTCATGGGACTAGAAAGGCCTTGATAAATTCTCTTTTACTGCATGACAGGCAGCAGCACCTCAGTGGGATGACTTCAACACAAACTGCCCAATGGCAGTGCCATGATGAAATATGATAGAGAATAATGTACCATAAAATTTTTAAACTGGAGAGAATCTGTTAGGCCATCTATATTACATATATAATACACATATGTGTATATGAGACATGCAGATATACATGTATGTGTGTATGTAAATATGTATTCAATAGTATCAGAGATTCTTAATTCAAGAATATACTTGACTAGATATAAATAGCATTCTTTGAAGGTGACATCTTCCTGATAAGACACTTAAAAGATGTTCTCAATTTTGTATATTCGGAATCTTCTGGAGATTTGTGCATGTATGTATAAGTGCGTGCACACTTCCATAAGACTAATTCTTTTTCTTGCTACTCGTGGTACCGTCCTTATAAACCTATGATTCACAACAGGAATGTAGCTTGGAACTCCTGCTATGTAAGCAGCTGCAGATACTTCAAATACCAGTGTACATGTGATCCAGGAGTTGCTATAAATTTGCCCCTAAAAATAAAGTAACAAGTGACTGAGCAGCAATAGGAATTAATCACTGCAGTGCGTGAATGGAATGTGCTAGGCTCTACCTCAAAATCCTTTTATAAAAAGACTGATATAATTAAAACCCCAAAGAAATATCCAAGGATGCTATATTTGAGAAAATGTGCTGTGAAAGTTTGGAAAAGTGATTTTTTTAAAAGGGAAGACATGGTAGAAAAGTGTTTCCATAACTTCTATATCATTGGAAATAGGATTATATTATTACATCACTGAAGAATTTATCATACAAAGGAATTTAAATTGGATTCAATCTTGGTACACTGAAATTTTTTGAAGGCCGAGGGGATAATCGAGCCTCTCAATTAAGCTGTTTGCCATGAAGGGAAATAACTTCACAGTTAAAATATCCACCACAATTTGTAGCAAAGATTACTTTGGTGATTCAGACATGTGAATAACCATGTGAAAAGATCAGACATCTGAAGCTTTCAAAATTAAATGTGAACTATTGAATTTGTTAAAAAGCAAAAAACCAACCAAAGAAAAAAAAGAATATGACTTCTTGGAACCTGTTTTTCTATGACTATAGACGTATTCAGCATCCAAATCCAACAGCCCCCCTGTTCCTCTATCACTCTCACATGCCCTCCAAAAGGAGAAGGAAAAGAGAGAAAAGGAAGGGAGGAAGGAAGGAAGGAAGGAAGAGAGGGAGGGAGGGAGGAAGGGAGGGAAGGAGGGAGGGAAAGAAAACACTAACCAGAAGAAAAAGAAGAAAAATCCCCACTAACCAGCTCTTCTTAAAAGGTCATTAAACAGATGGCCCAGAAAGGCCTCTCTGACTCTAAGCACATCACAGGTAACAAAGTGTTTTAGTTGTTTGAAAGATAATTTGATGGAAGATCAATTTTTGGACATAGAGAAAGTGAAAGAGATTTCTTAAACCCACTTGAATTACTGAAGATGAAAGGTTAAAAGCTTTAAAAACCAAAAACTACATTAGCAACTGAACAGTAAATACCATCAACAGAGACACAAAATAATTTAGCAAAACAAATATTAAATGAAGACAAGAAAAAAGAATTCATTTCAGAAGCCAAAAACTTCCTTTTCTTTGTATTTCAAAATTGATTTTGCAGTTTTAGACAGAAGTACTAATGGGTAATTTCTATTTAATGCTTTCTAAACACATGCACAAAAAAATCACTCTCAGCTCCAAAAGGTCACAGAGATCAAAGCAGGTAGACTTTCTTGGACAGTTTTGCCACCACTCTACACTGTATTAGGAGCTGTGAGTGTTTCTACAGTGAAAGATGATATGATCTGCAGCTTCTTAACCTTACGTGAATTAGGCTTAAAACCACACACTAAAAGCCGGTTTCTGTGGCATTTTGTTTCTAGAATAGTTGTGTTTCAGGGAAGAACCACTAGGGTGTTGCGAGGCCCAGGTGGTTATATCTTTTTAATCTAACAGTAAGAGGACATTTTCAGGTAGGTGACAAATATTTATTTTAATATTAAATCTTAAAAAAGTTAATCATTATTTTTAGATGCAATAATGCATTTTCCTGCCTTCTTTAAGAGGAGAATAAACATAGTTTAACCTCTTTAAGGATTCAAGGTTCTCATTATAAACTTAATTTGTTACTGTTATAACATGATCTTGCCATGGATGAAGTGTGTTTTCCCTTACATTAAAAATCATTCAACTGATCCAGACAAAGATACTACAAGAAAAGAAAACTTTAAAACAATATCTTTGATGAATATTGATGCAAAAATCCTCAGCAAAATATGAGGAAACTGAATTCAACAGCACATTAAAAGGATTATACACCATAACCAATTGGGATTTATCCTGGGATGCAAGAATGGCTCAGCATACCAAAATCTGTCAATGGAATACACCACATTAACATAACAATGGACAAAAACCACATGATCATCTAAGTTGATGAAGAAAAGCATGTGACAAAACTCAATGCCCTATCATAATAAAAACACTCCACAAATTAAGAATAGAAGGAAATTACCTCAACATAATAAAGGTCACATAGGAAAAGCCCACAGGTAACATCATACTCAATGGTGAAAAACTGAAGGCTTTTCCTTTAAGCTCAGGAACAAGACAAGAATGCCCACTCTTGCCACTTGTACTAAACATACTACTGGAGTCCTAGCTAGAGTAATTAGATAAGAAAGGGAAACAAAAAGCATCTCAATCCAAAATGATGGAGCAATAGTGTCTCTGTTCACAGATGACATGATCTTATATACAGACAATCTTAAAGATTCTACAAAAAATTAGAACTAATAAACAAATTTAGCAATGTTGCAGTATACAAAATCAACACTCAAAGTCAGATGCGTTTTTATACACTAATAATGAACAATGCAAAAGGAAATTTTAAAAAATCAAATTTACAATAGCATCAAAAAGAACAAAGTGCTTAGTAATAAACTTAACCAAGGAGGCTGATATGGTTTGGATGTTTGTCCCCTTCAAATCTCATGTTGAAATGTGACCCCCAATGTTGGTGCTGCGGCCTAGTAGGAGGTGTTGGATCATGGGGGTGGATCCCTCATGAATGGCTTGTTGCGCTCCCCATGGTAATGAGTGGTAACAAATTCATGCCAAATCTGGTTATTTAAATGAGTATGGCACCTCCCCCACCCCCTTGTGCCCTCTCTCACCATATAACACGTCTGTTCTCCCATCACCTTCCACCATGAGTAAAATCTTCCTAATGTCTCACCAGAAGCCAAGCAGATGCAGTTGCCATGTTTGTATAGCCTGCAGAACCATGTGCCAATAAGCCTCTTTTATTCATAAATTAGTTTAAGGAATTTCATTATAGCAATGCAAAACGGACTAACACAGAGGCAAAAGATTTGTACACTGAAAACAAAACATTGGTGAAAGAAATTAAAGACACAAATAAATGGAAAGACATCCTGTGTTCATGGATTGGAAGACATAATATTATTAAAATATCCATACTATCCAAAGTAATACATAGATTTATTGCAACACCTATCATAATCCCAATGACTTTTTTTTTGCAGAAATAGAAAAAAATTCTAAAATTTACAGGGAATCTCAAAGGATTTCAAACAGCAAAAACAATCTTCAGAAAGAAGTAAGCTGAAGGCCTTACATATCCTGACTTTGAAACATATCACAAAGCTACAGTAATCAAAATAGTATAGTACTGACATAAAGGCATATAGACCAATGGAACAAAATAGAAAGCCTAGAAATAAATCCTTGCATATATGGCCAAATGATCTTCAACAAGGATGTCAAGACTTACACAATGGAGAAATGATATTCTCTTCAACAATTGGTGTTGGAGAAACTGGAAACCCACACAGAAAAGCAGAAAGATGGATCCTTATCTTACATCATATGCAAAAAATAACTCAAAATAGATTAAAGAACTAAACATAAGACCTGAAATTATAAAACTCTTAAGAAGAAAACACAGGGGAAAATGTTCAAGACGTTAGAATGGGCAATAATACCTCAAAGAAAACACCAAATGCACAGGCAACAAAAGCAAAAATAGACAAATGAAACTACATCAACTGTGCAACAAAGGAAACAATCAACAGAGTGAAAAGGCAATTTGTGGAACAGAAGAAAATATTTGCAAGCCACATATCAGATAAAGGGTTATCCAATATATAGAATTTATAAAGAACTACTACCATTCAAAAACAGATAAAAAATACTTGATTAAAAATGGGCAAAGGACTTGAACAGATCTTTCTCCAAAGAAGGTATAAAAATGGCCAATAAGCATATGAAAAGACGTTCAACATAACTAATTATCAGGGAAATGCAAATAAAAATTACAATGAGATATCACCTCACACCCATTAGGCTAGCCTACACTATCAAAGAAACAGAAAATAACAAATGTTGGTGAGGATGTGGAGAAATTGGAATCCTTATGCATTGCCGATAGGATTGTAAAATAGTGTAGCCCCTATAGAAAACAGTATGACAATTCCTCAAAAAATTAAAAATAGAACTACCACATGGTCCAGCAATATATACTTCTGGGTATACATCTGAAAGAATTAAAAATAGTATCTTGAAGAGATATTTGCACACCCATGTTTATTGCAGCATTATTCACAATAGGAAAAATGTGGAAGAAACCTAAATATTCATCAACAGATGAATGGATAAAGCAAATAGTCATATGCATACAATGGAATATTACTTACCTTTAAAAAAGAAGGAAATCCTGACATATGCTACAGCATAGTTGAATCTTGAGGACATTACAGTAAGTGAAATAAACAAATCGCAAAAAGACAAACACTGCATGGTTCTGCTTATATGAGGTATCTAAAGTAACCAAACACATAAAAACAGAAAGTAGAATGGTGATTGTCAGGGGCTGGGGAAAACAGGAAATGGGAAGTTGTTCAGTGAGTATAGAGTTTCAGTAATGCAAGATGAAAAAGTTCTAGAGATCTGTTGTAAAACAATGTGCATATAGTTATAACAATACTGTACTGTACACTTAAAATTTTTTATGAGGGTAAATTTATGTTACTTTTTTTGTCACAATTTTTAAAAAGTTCAACTGTTTTATTTTTACCACCCTTCTAGCTTTTACGTATAATTTATGTTTCTCTTTGGTGCTGTCAGTTATTACTTCTTATGTCTGAATGTTGTAGGTATGTGTGGGTTTTTTTTTAATCTAGTAAACCATTCCTTCAACTTGTAGGTATGTCTAGTTTCTAATCCTCTGTCTTAATTAATAAATAATGTTTGGGGTGAACATCTGATATCCATGGGCTTTGTGTAAAGCTGCTTGCATCTTAGAGGCCTATTTTTCTGCTTGTTTTTCAGAAATATGTTTCTGAGGATTGGGATTGCCAGATATTTGACTTTGACATACTAAGCTGGATATTATTGAGCCTTTGCACTTTTCTAGGAAAGTGTTGGACAGCCAGGTAGTCAGACAACTGGGGACTAGCTTTGAGTCATGGAAATTCACGTCATCCTGTTTAAGAAGACCTCGACATGTGGCCTAAACAAATATAACACCCCCAATTCAAAATGGTCATGTCACTGCACAGACACCTCAGTCTTTCATTTCTGGGCTGGAGCTACTTGAGATACATACTTTAAATGGATGTTGTTAAGCCCACCATGTTTGTATGGCGGTGATGTCACTTCCTCCATGGTAGAAGCTACATCTTGCAAGACGACTTCTTCCATTTCTAAGCTGATTGAACTTGAGTTTTAGCTTTATCGTTACTTTTTGTTTTCGTTTTGTTTTATAGAGAAGAGATCCTTACATGCTACTTTTTGTTTTTGTTTTCATTTTTTTTTTTTTAAATAGAGGTCTTTACATGTTCTTTTGGAGGCAGAACACACTTTAATTTTACGTGGTTTATAAAAAGATCATAGATATATAGGGGAAAAAACTACACAAAGTCTATACAGTGAAAAGTAAGTCTCCCTTTCATCTCTATTTCTCAGCCCTCATGTCTTCCTCATCAGACTCAATTTTTGTTTTGACAATCTTTTATATGCTTCCAGAGATATATAACTTTAAAAAAAAACCACAAATGAGAAAATTCACTAAAACTGTTCTATACTTTGGTTTGTTCACTACATAATATATATTTATCTCATATTTGGATATATCTCATCATTTTTGATGTCACCTAAATAATACACTTAGTAGATAAATGAAATTAATTTAATTAGTTCTTTTTAATGGATGTTAAGATTGTTTTCATATTTTTACTATTATGAACTCTAGAAATGCAATAAAAAAGAAATCCCATTTACAACTCCAACACATAAAGCAGGTAATGCAAGTAGTGTGTCAGCATATCATAAATCTAAGTCAGATAAATTAAAACCATTCAATCGTAGAAGCTAAAATTTTCTATATTAAGATGTTTATGCACCACTATGACATAGAGATGAGCACAGAGGCTGATGGGTGACAACTGTGACACCTGTCTAGCACGATTGATCCAGGAACACAACACAAATGGGAATCTGAAAAAAAGAACAGTGGAGTCCATTATACATGTACAAGTTGAAATACATGTAGAAAAATGTCAGGAAAAGCTTTTTTGCAAGTTTACGCAGGATACGTTAACAGGTTGGAGATATGTAATGTGTCAAAATTTAGCATTTTAAAGCTGTAAATTGATTTTTATTGCAGTTTGAAAAAATTTAAAAGAAATTCAATTTTAGAATGAAATCTCATTTCTCACTTCTCAGATTGACAAATATGAAAAAAGTTGATAATGAAAAAATAATCCAAGGTTTGGCAAGGATGTGGGGAAATAAGCATTAATGTGTATTTTTTTTATGGGAACATACATTTGTAGAAATTTGGTAGAAACGTTTAGCAGTTTTCATGAAAAATTAAAATACATATATCTTTTTTTCCACCAGTGACATGTCATGGGACTTTCCCCATATGTACAAAAGAATATTTGTAAAGTGACTTTTTATTGTAGCACTGTATATATTAACAAGAATTAGAAGCCATCTAACTGTCCAAAACTATGGGATTAATTAAATAATTTGCAGTCTGCATATACTTCAGTTTGTAGCTGATTAAAAGAATGAATATATTTGTATATACTAATTGGAAAGGTTTTCAACATATTCTACGAAGTGAACACAGCAAGGTAGGAAACTGTGTATAAAATTCTCATTTCTTGTGTGAGAGATAAAAAAATTGCTCATCTGTATGAAAAATTTCACAACAAACTATTGATAAAATTTCCTTGTGGGAAGTGGGTTGGGGGATCTGAGGCAGAAGAGACACGTTTTTTTTTAACCTTTTTGTGAATTTTCTTCATATTCATAAATACATATTTCAAAAGGTGAATTAAAATCAAATATTTATGGAAGCACTACAGTGTTTTATGAAACAAAATCTGAAAAACGGTTTTCAAGGAATCCACTTCTAGACTGAAAACAGTGGTGAGAATTTAGAGGATGCCACCATCACTTCCTGCTTAGTAAATTATGGGAAATACGAAGACTTCCTTCCCTGCTTTTCAATACAAAGTTTGAAATAGAGAGATTTCTTCTGATATTATCAAGAAAGATGAGGGTAGGAAGATTTAACTCCAGAAGAACCCAAGGTGGCTAGGAATGAGGTGGAAGAAACATCATTAGGGCAGTCTCCAAAGACGTACCTTTGGTGGGTAGAGGAGGGAATTTTGTAGGAGCTTTTGTAGCCCACTCCCACAGAATCACTAGGAGCCCCATTTTGTTAGGTGGCAAATTGCTGACACAGGGTGTAACAATCTCTTCCAGACTTCTGGCACCAGTGTACAAATTGTACTTATTTTTGTAGTTGAGATGTGAGGAAATTGCCTAAGATTTTAATGATTTATTATTATCACTTAAAATATTATTTCATTTTGTGTTTTAAAAAATCCATTTTTAAAAAGCATGAATAATATAGGTAGCTGAAGAAATATAGAAAACTTTCCATTTCCCAAAGATACCTGTACTTAACGTTTTGGTACATTACTCTTCCAAGGTTTTTTGTTTGTTTACTTGTTTAATTTTGGCATTTATGTGGATGTGATCACACTGTCTATACAAGTTCATTTCCTGTTCAGACAGGCCAAAGAGGTACTCATCAGGACCCTGAATCAGGACCCTACAATAAAGATGTAATGGGACATGAATTATTATTATCATCATTAAACAGCTACAACCAATGAAAACAGTCAAAACTTCTTAATATGGTGATAGGATGTTGAAGGTTGGTTTTGAGAGATGGACTGACGAGGTCTATGGATGTAACAGTTAAATTCAGGGCCAAGAAAGGTTCTTGGTTTACAATATGTGACAACTTTTCAACTTGCAAGGAGGAAGGCTGATAATTTATTTTCTTACTGTATGTGTTCTTAGCCTCACCAATTCCAGATCTGGCTGAGCTATTCCAGTGGGGAAAGAACATCTGCTAAACTTGGCTTGGTAGAATCAAGTTAAGAATGCTTTAACTTTTGGTAAAAGAGAACCCAACTAATAGTGGACTAAGTAAATAGAAGTTTAGTTTTCTCACATGACAGATGAGACTTCTGGAGGTAAACTGCTACTGGCTATGATTCAATGGGTAGGTGACATCAGGGCTAGCACTTCTGTAACGCTTCTCATTCCCTCAAGCCAGCACTGCATGGTCACAAGATGGCGGCTGCACTTCAGATATCATGATGGCTTCTGAGCTAGGAAACCAGAAGAGGATAGCACCAGCCCTAAGTGCTTCCTTTTATCAGGAAATCAAAATTGATCTCCATACCTCCTTCTGCCTTCTTCTCACTGGCCAAAACTATGTCTAATAGCCACCCTGAGTTGCAGGAGAAGCTAGAGAGAAAAGTATGTTAGCTGGCCACCTTGTCACATCATAGGAAAACTGGGGTTCTGTTAGCACCGAAGAAGTGAGGAATAGGTATAACGTAGACAGGTCACCTTGTCTGCCAGAGGGAACACTCTTTATCCACTTCAAGTTCTTTATTTCCAAGATGTATGTAGAATGGATTTTTCCTTTGCTTGCTGCCCCAGAGCTGGGGTGCTATAGAAGACTGATGGGAGTGGGACTTCAGGTTTGCTGAGGACCGTGACAGCACTAGGCAAGGAGACATGCCATTAAGGGAACGTGGGTGTTCCTGCCAGACAAGGGTGACCCAGAAGATGTAGCTGAATCTCAAAAGAGACATCCCTGCCCAGGAGAATGGCCATTTCGTATGCACTTTGAGTCTTTGTCTGCTCCTGTGAAAAAGCCCATTCACAGGCGTGACCATTTGTGGAGACCACTGTGGTCTCATTGTGTGCAGTCATATGAAGAAGCTATTGCATTTTCCTCTTCCTCCATTTTAACCCAGCACCAGAAGGGTAAGCTCCAGGGAAGAGGAGAGGGTGTGAGACAAAGCGGGGTATGCTCCTCACCCACAGATTGTGGAGGCTTCAGAATAGACTCTGACTGGGTGACAGACGAAAGCTTTGGATTACACATGGTTACAACAGCTAGACCTGAATCATAAAAACCTCAATGGAACTGTACTGATAAATCTGAGGGCCTGAAAAACTATAGAACTAGACTGAGATATCATGAAGGCAACTGCTACTCAGTATATTGAAGTCCCAACCTCCAATACCTATGAATGTTAGTTAATTTGGAAAGGTCTGTGCAGATGCAATCAAGTTAAAATGAAGTCATAGTGAATGAAGGCAACCCCTAATCTACTATGACTGAAGTCCTTATAAGAAGAGGAAAAATTGGACCTAGAGACATACAGGAAGAATGCTGTGTGAAGACAGAGGCAGAGATTGGAGTGATTGAGCTGAAAACCAAGGAATGCCAAGGATTGATGGTCACCACCACACGCTAGGAAGAGGCAAGGAAGGTTTCTATCCAAAGTCTTATAAGGAGCTCTGTGGATACTTTGATTTTGAACTTCAGGCCTCCTTAAGTGTAAGAGAAGAAATTTCTGTTGTTTTAAGCCACCTTACTTTATTAAATGCTGTGTCATTTTCCTAGGGCTGCTGTAACAAAGCCCTGGGAAACTAATTCAGCATTCAGTAAAGTAGGGGGAAAATGGTTTTACATAGATACACCTAACAACTGACACTGTTCATAAAACCAATAAGACACCGACTATATTAGGCCATTCTTGCATTACTATAAAGAAATACTTGAGACTCGGTAATTTGTAAAGAAAAGAGGTTTAATTGGCTCATGTCTCTGCATGCTTTAATGGGAGCTTGGCACCAACATCTGCTTGGCTTCCGGGGAGGCCTTGGAGCATTTACTCACGGTGCAAGATGAAGCAGGAGCAGGCACATCACATGGGGGGAGCAGGAGCAAGAGAGAGAGTGGGAGGGGAGGTGCCACACTTTACAACAACCGGATCTCACAAGAACTCACTCCTCATCCTGAGAATAGCACCAAGCCACGAGGGATCCACCCCCATGACCCAAACACCTGCCCTCAGGCTCCACCTCCAACACTGGGAATTACATTTCAACATGAGATTTGGGTGGGGACAAGAATACCAAGTTTGGTATGGATTGATAGCTTTGTCAGTGTACTGTACTATTTTCAATGACAATTTAATGCCATCTTCCTTACCTGGGCTAAGTAGATAATTTTCTTCAATTGCCTTGAACCTTTTCCCAAAGCAGAAATTTGTCAGACTATTCTTGCTCAGAGAATGCACTGTGCTTTTGCTTTGATTGTTAAGCATTTTTAATTAGCAGCATGAAGCGTATTAGAGAGAAGGCATTAATTGCTTCCTTAGCTCCCCTGATATTACTTGAGTGAGGATATCTTTAACTCTGTCTCTTCTGTGTCTCTTTGCAAGGAGAGAAAAATTTTATTTTCATGGGCTTGAAACCCTTGTGGTCCTTTTATTCTTATTGCAAAGCTGTACTTAAAGGAAAATTAAGGAGAAATTTTAACCATTCTAGTTGTCAATGGTGGTCTCATCCTGAAACTGTTGGTTACCTTGGCAACACGGCTTGGGTACCAGCCTCTCTCCTATTTCACCTAACTAGTAAACATATGTGAACATCTGGACATGTGTGCGTTGTGTGTATAGGTGAGAAATCTACGTTTATGAAGGAGTCAGGGTATTCACAGGGTATCTGTGCTACGTGCTTTATTTTAGCCAGAGTTTCCTGGCTAACCTCTTTCAGCATTTTGCAACTTGCCTTCCACTTCTTACACAACACTAAAAATTTCCCTAAACATTTTAAATCATATTTTAACACAGCAGAACTTGGCAGTTTTAACAGCTTACTATGATTTCCTCACATCTTTTTTACTTTAGAGAATACGAAATCAAATTTTAACAAATCACATTATGAGTTCCCCCACACATTCTATTTCTTAAAAAAATAGAAACATGATGAATCATTATGTTAGGATACCCCAGGCTGGGCGTGGTGGCACACGCCTGTAATCCCAGCACTTTGGGAGGCTGAGGCGAGCGGATCACCTGAGGTCAGGAGTTTGAGACCAGCCTGACCAACATGGAGAAACTCTTTCTCTACTAAAAATACAAAATTAGCTGGGCGTGGTGGCGCATGCCTGTAATCCCAGCTACTCAGGAGGCTGAGACAGGAGAATCACTTGAACCCGGGAGGCAGTGGTTGCAGTGAGCCAAGATCGCACCATTGCACTCCAGCTTGGGCAACAAGAGTGAAACTCTGCCTCAAAAAAACAAACAAACAAAAACTCCGCCTCAAAAAAAAAGATGCCCTAAATTTTTAATTTCAAAATTAAATGTATTTTTGGAAATTTGATTTGTTTAAAAGAATATTCCTATAATTATGGCAGGCTAACTAACAATTATGAAACAATTACAAAAACAACTATGGAATATTGGGATATTTCTTCATATTCTAAAGTCTATGCTTATAGAAACATGTTTGTGATTTTGAAGATGTTTGAGATATTTGTTACGGTAGGCACGTTTTTAATTGGCAAGTATAAATACTACCTGTTAAAACTTATAATTTTTAGAAAATTCAAGATTTAACACAAGAAAGAAAGTAAAAAATAAATACTTAATGTTAAAATTCCACCATTAAAAAGTGCTTTAAAGTTTTCTGAACTTAATTTGAACCTTTATTTTCATGTAGACACCATTAATAAAGTATCCGAAAGGGTAGTGACAGAGGATTTGTTTGAAATTTGCAATAGACCTAAGTGAGAAGTGGGAGGGAATTATTTCTGGGGCCCCGGTTTCTCTGCCTGGTATTTCTTCTCTTCCCACCACATACCTGTACTTGGAGGTGCACAGGTTCCTTGGGGCTAGGATGAGTGGCGAGGCCAGTCAACAAAATAAGAAGAAAAACATGAATTTTCCGCCCTTCTGGCTTTTTTCCCTTCTCCCCTTTGCCTCTCTTGGTGACTGGCTGTGCACTTACCCGCCACCCAAATCATGAACCTGAGAATTACTTTCATGATGCTTCCAGCACCCTGTCGACCCCATTCTCACTCTCATCAGTATCATCGGTATCCAAATGTGATGTGTGATGGTACCTCCTTCACATGTGTTATCTTGTCCCTTCCTCTCTATTTCTTGAAGTTGTTCACAAGGACAATTACAACAAGCTCTTCACTGCCCAACCTTCTCTTTAATCCAAATTTTATGATGATGCTAAGAAATCTCTTCAAACCACGATTTCGTTCGGTTACTTACTGGCTTTTTTTTTTTTTTTTTTTTTTTTAAAGACATCAAGAGCTTTCTCAATGCCTTTAGGGTAAGTCTTAATTTCTAGAACTGGTCCTTAAATTCCGACCAAGCCTAACCTTACACTGTGGGCCACTTGAACCTTTCCTCATCTCCAGGGTTACTATGTCTGGTGTGGTCACTGGCACAACTCTAGGGGGCGCCATGCACACTGGCAGTCTATATGACAAATGTTCTCTCTGCCTGAAATTTCCTTCCCTGCCTGTCCTTTAAAATGCAATTTTTCTTGAATTTCTCAAACTACTTTACTTCCTTGAAATTGGAGCCCTTCTTCCTCTCAGTGGACTCTACCTTTACCTATTTCATTCATCTACTTACTTTCCAACTCTCCAATCTTAAGTGCTTGTTTCCATGTTTCTCTGTCTCCTTTTCCTGCCTACCCCTCACTGAAAAGTAAGCCCCTGAAACACAGATGCTGTTTTATTTGTTTTTATAGCCCTTACATTTAGCACTTAACCTGGTACAGAGAGGCACTTAATATTCAGTCTAAGAGTGCATGAGTGAATGAATGAATGCAATACAATGAACTCTGGTTGGTTCACGCAACCCTGGGTTTCTTTTTTTGTTTTTAGACGGAGTCTCGCTCTGTCGCCCAGGCTGGAGTGCAGTGGTGCGATCTCAGCTCACTGTAACCTCCATCCCCTGGGTTCAAGCAATTCTCCTGCCTCAGCCTCCTGAGTAGCTGGGATTACAGGCGCCTGCCACCACACCCAGCTAATTTTTGCATTTTTAGTAGAGACGGAGTTTCACCATGTTGGCCAGCTGGTCCCGAACTCCTGACCTCAGGTGATCCGCCTTGGCCTTGGCCTCCCAAAGTGCTGGGATTACAGACATGAGCCACCGCGCCCAGCCAACCCTGGGTTTCTGTTTACATTTTTTTCTATGTGGATCTGGACTGTGTTTCCTTCTATGCTAGCCCAGACTAGCCTAATAACACCTGCCCCTCCCAACTGTTTTCTAGTTGATTTACTTATAGCTTCTGTCCCTAGCAGGATCTGGCTTTCTCCTGGAGCAAGTGTATCTGCTACTACATACTATCTGCACCCTCGTATCCTATTTCCCTTCCTCTGTGGGGACGACTAAGGGTTTACCATGGCTGCAGCACAACTGGCATCTGTCAGAATCAAAACTCATTAATAAAAAAATGATAATGCTTCAAAGTACATTACATTACTCCTTCAAAGTCCTTTGTGAACATTATCTTATTAATCATCACAATAGCTCAGGGGAAGATAAACATTGTTGGTTATCTTACCTCGATCATATTTTGAAGGAACTGTTTTTTTCTTGTTATTGTTTGATCATGCTATGAAATCTGGATAGCAATTTTCATATTGGCTATTTGGATATAATTTGATATGCTGACGTAAAATTTCCCTGGATCAGTAAGGTGGTTTTTATTTTTATTTTAGATGTCTCACTGGTACTCTTGTAGAATTCTTTCCAGAGAGCTGAGCAAAGAATAACAAGCAAAAGACTGAGATATTTCTCCTCAGGGGTTGAAATTTTCTGGGTATCTTGAGGCTCATTAAATCATTGGTTCATGATGTAGAAAAGCAAAAGACGAGTTACTTGTACACATAGTAGGTGCTAAAATAACAGTTGAATGATTGAATGAAGTATTATTTTAAAACCTGGAAGTTTAAATAAGGGACTTATGTAAAAAATTAGTATCCTAGTCAGGAATTCCATTAGTAACCAGCATCAAGTAGCCAAAAGAGAATTCTTTTAGGAGGGGAATTTTACTTAGGAAACTGGTTTAAAGAATCTACTCAGTTCTTCTGTCCCCGCCTCACCTCTAGCATCCTATGTTTACTTTTCTCATAGCGCTTATCACACATTTTATCATGTATTTGTTTACGACTTTAGTTTCCCTTAGATGGCAGGAAACACTTCTGCTTGACACACAATGGGAGCTCAATAAATGACTGTTGAATGGAAAAAAAATTAACTAGAGAAATCTTTCCCACCAAAAGTAAAAAGTGGAATAAGTTCAATTTCAAAGTTACAGGAAGAGATGGTATAAGCATTGGGCACTACATTCAAGTTGGGTGTCAGGTATCCTCAACGCGCCTTGTATGAGGAATTTGAAATCTTCCAATAACTCAACAACAAATGGTACCACCTCTGGAAGATTTTCTTCTTTCAAGAGATGAGCGATGTCACAGATGACATGGGCACTTTCTATGTTCTAAGATGGAGTCTTATTTCGTGGGAGTGTCTAGGGTGGAGTGGCCCTCAGTACAACTATACCTGTTCATCTCTGGTGCTGGGAGAGTGTCCTAGAGGGAGGTTTCATGAGGCTTACCTCAAATTTTTTTCCAGGCCAAACAAACATTTTTGGCTTCATAGATTACTGTCAACTCTATGTCTACCCCGTCAGCATAGACTAAAAGGCCAGGCTGTAGTCAGGCTGTGGTGTAATCGGGCATCTGTCTTTTCTAATCACAGTAGTTTTGTGGCATGGGGTGTGGAGCTGAGTGGAAGGGCGGGACATTTCTCTGGCCTGTACTTCCTCTTCCTGGTCAAGCTCACACACTTCCCACTAGCACTCTGTCTTCCCACCCTTCTTACTGTTACTCCAGGAAGTGCCAGTGCCCAGCACAAGCTTCTGAAAACTCCCTCAGTTTAAAAACACTCCCGAACCCTTCCTCCAACCTCCAGAAAAATGTCACCCATTATTAAGAAATGCCCGAGTAGAACACGCTGGCTTCTAAATGTCACTTTTTAAGATTTGGAGATAAAACACCGTCATAGCTTTAAAAAATCCTGTTCACTCTTGCCTTTTATCTTTCAATAAGAAAGTTGGTGTTGACATCCCTTATAGAGGAAGCACAGCAAAGAGGATTAAAAGTGGTTCGAAAGTCCAATGAGGAATGTATACTTTCAACAACTCTGCTGTAGAGGGAAGAATCTTAGCCAATGGCTTTCCAGAAAAGTGATTATGCTTTAAAAACAAAATTCAAATACTTAATAAGTCTAGGTTCCTCAGCTTCAGCTCTTAAGCGTACATTAGTGCTCACACTAGCATCTGTTTCATTCTTTTAACAAAATAACATTGTTTTGATGAAAATCTGTGCCTCAGTTGGCCATGTTTTGCGCAGCAGTTTTAGATTGGGTATTCAGAGTGATGATAACTGTGATTGCTTTCCTAAGTAGTCTGCTCAGCATGAATATCCCCAGTGTGGAAACTTCTCTCAGGGAGATTTCTGTAGCTTTCAGGACCATGGAACTCTTTGTGTAACTTGATACTCAATGGACTTTTTTCTCAAGCCCTGGAACCCTATTTTTTTTTTTAGGAAAACCCTGGACTAGCTCATGGTTTGGGTGGAGAAGCCCAAAAAGCTGATGATAAGCAGGTAGGAAAGGCAGCCCCCTCCCTTCAGTCATGGTAGGTCCCCTGGGAATTGGTTTCTCTCTGTCCTGAGGTGGGGAAATCTGGTAATCAGTAAATCAAATGGTTTCTAGAATTTCTGAAGCTCTTCCCCAGAAACTGAAGCAACCGCAGTTTGAAAACCACTACAGCAAAGCAGTTAGGAGACTAAACAGAATTTCCCAAATGGTTCACTTTCCTTCTAAAAGTTACAAACACTCCCTATTCTGGAGGAATAATTGGACCCATGAAGCTTGGAAGGCTGGTTTTAGAGCTGGAAAGTTTTGTGTTCAAATATCCGTTACCTTCTTCTGAGAAGAAAAGCTTGTACTTGGATTGGAATTCTGTTCCACATCTTTGAGATAAACTTCATTTGATTTATCAGGTCAATCCTTAGCTTTTTGAGTTGCCAAATTAGTTGGAATGGGATTATTTTATTTTTAAAGCATCAACTATTAGACATAACTTGGAGGTCCAACAAACTTGTCTCTTGTGTGCCTTGGTTTCCCCCATTTCTAATCTCTCCCCAACCCGAGGTGTTAATTACAATTCTAGCTCTGTAATTAATAGGGCAGTTACTTAACCTCTTAGGATTCAATTTTCTCTTCTTTAAAATAAACAGTTGCTGGACTGAGATGATCAATAAGGCCTTTTTAATTGTTAACAATTGACGATTACATGAGGTTTCGTCCTCCATGGCCACACAGCCATGTCACAGTGCCCTATAATCACACAGGCCACCCTTCTCTTAGACTCCAATACACCTGACCCTGGAGTTGTACAACACAGTGGCCCAGTGGTTTGAGAGGTGTGTCCAAGTTTCCCCTCAGCCTTAAAAAATCTTTCCTTTCCAGATGCTTTGAAATGTTGCCACTGGAGACCCAAGCTTAAATATTATTCTCTCCAGTACAATTCTTGGACAGATAACACATTAAGTCATTAACAAGTTCTATGAATTGTTTTTATTTCTCCCATGACAGGAAGAACCTGGAGAAGTGGGAGAACTCTGAATAGATGGGGAGGTGGTGGTGGTGAGGGAGGGAGGCTGAGCCAAGGCTTTTGAGGCAGAAGTAACCAAATTCAGCTCTTGGATCCATTTATAAGCTGTGTGACTGTGGGTTAATTATTTAAGCATTGGGTCTCAGTTTCTATATCTATAAGGTGGTAGTATTTACCTGTGGAGGGCTGTCCTGAAGACTGAATTCAATATTGTGTAAGCATCTAGTGTACAATAGGCACTCACTAAATGGAACTATTACCATGACTTCATAATTTTACCCACAGCTAGATCTGCAATTAAGTGTTCTGATCACCCTATTTGATAGCAAAACTCAAATAGAAGCTCTGGTATTCAAGGGACAAACAGACATACCTTCCTGCTTGAAGAACAACTTTTTATTTCATAACCCCTCTGTGCCTGTGGCACAGTGAGGCTCGGATGCCAAGAAGCGCTTGTTCTCTGATCTTCCTCACGCTCTCTCCAATACCTCTGAGTTGTTTGGCACATGTTTTGAAACGTGAAAATGGGATAGCACTTTCTAAACAGTAAAATCATTATGTTAAAAGCTCATTTGATTTTCTTCCATTTGAATGTGAACTACAGTGCTGGAGATCTTTGTTTTTGTTAGGGAGTGGGTTTTCTCTCTCTCCCTTTTTTTAATTTGTCTTCCATTAGAAAAGTATTTTTTGATTGCTTGCACGGTTTATTTTGTGGAAATAAGACTCTATTGTTCTATCAGGGGAAAAAAACATCCACCGCAATAACCATTTAGCACAAGGAGAAGGAAGAAAGGTATTTTGGAGAAAAATAATTCCTTTCCCATATTTCTCTTAAGTTGTATATCTTGGAACTAGTTTTCCATTATAAGAAACTTCTCTTTTGTTTATGAAAAAAAAAAAACCTCTAAGAAGTCAAAACCCATAGGATTTGTTCTTTTTCCTAGCTAATTTTCAAGCAAGATGCAAAACTGCCATTAAGCATCTCTGTTCCTTGTCCAGTCCAATTTAAAAATATTTTTTTAGAAGTTACAAAAGATTTCAAAAACATGTTAAAGGACTCTTCTTAAAAAGTTGACTCCCCTTGGGAACTTGAAAATCAGCTTTTTAAAAAGTGCTTCTGAGCTGTCTCTGAAATTTCTTCTTGAATAGCATTATACTGTCTTCCTAGCAAGGAGTGGTTTGATCTAGCTTTCCAACAGTGTGATGATGGAGGTATGAGCTAGTCAGACAGTGTACCCAATTTGGGGGTTTTATTCACAGCTTTCATTTTAGTTCACCATATAGATTGTGGAGTTAGATTCTTCTAATGGAGATTGTTTAATTTTCTCCATCTAGAAATATTTTCACTGAGGCACATTTAACAATTTTCTTGTATATATCTCAGGTGTGTTAGTGTTTTTCCTCCGCAAATGGATGATAAATTTCACATAGCTGGAGGACCCTCAATAATATTCTTTGGAATTTCCCTTAGTGCTTGGTCCCTTTGTAGCTGCTCCATAAATACTATAGTAGTCCATTTATTGGTTGATTATCTGTTAGTGCAATCTGTAATCCATTAGAAAATTAGAAAGAAGGGTGAGGCTGTCCATACTCAACTCAGCTAATGAGGAAGAATTTCTAAAGCAAAATATCCATGTATTTCTCTAGCCCTCTTACACACTGCTTCCCTCCTGATTAGGTAAGAACTATAAAAAAAAAAAAAGAAAGAAATGAGGACAACAGAGTTCAGTTCAGACTAATGTTTTGAATGATTGAGAAAGATCTCAGATCTTGTGTTGGATCTACTGATTGTAGCTTCATCGCATTCTCATTAAACCAGCAGAGACATAGCTTCTGGATGATTTACAGTAATACTTTCCTCTATTAAAAGAGATAAACAAGAATTGGCTGCATTTATATTTCACTGTATTTTGTTGAATTCTCTTTTAATAGAAGAATGCAATCAGACATATTTATTGATGTTAGTTTGTGAGAGGGCATCGGCATTCATCTAATTGATCTCCAAGACTCAGAAGAGTTCACATGGTTTTTATAAGGCCAAACAACTGGCCAGGACCATAAGCAGGACTAGATACTTTGTCTTCAGTCATCCCTTGGTATGCACAGGGGACTGGCTCCAGGATCCCCTGCAGATATCAAAATCCACAGATGCTCAAGTCCCTGATATAAAATGGCATAGTATTTGTATATAACCTAATACATCTTTCTGTATATTTTATTTTTGAGATAAGGTCTAGCTCTGTTGTTCAGGCTGGAGTACAGTGATGCAATCATAGCTCACTGTAGTCATGAATTCCTGGGCTCAGGCAATCCTCCTGCCTCAGCCTCTCTAGTGTCTAGGACCATAGGTTCCTGCCACCATACCTGGCATATATGTGTGTGTGTGTGTGTGTGTGTGTGTGTGTGTGTGTGTGTGTGTATGTATATATACATTGCAGAGACAGGGTTTCGCTTTGTTGCCCAAGCTAGTTTTGAACCCCTGGCTTCAAGAGGTGTTCTGACTTCAGCCTTTCAAAATACTGGGATAACAGGTGTGAACCATTGTGCTCAGCCTATCTCCTATATACTTTAAATAATCTCCAGGTTACTTAACATACCTAATACAAATGCCTACATATCATTTCATTCATGTGGATTCAGTGTAGTACTTAGTGCATGGCAAATTCAAGTTTTGCTTTCTGGAACTTTGTGGAATAATCCCCCTTCTACCAAATACTTTCAGTCCATGGTTGTCTGAATCCATGGATGGGGAAACCATGGATAGAAGGGCTGACCGTAGTTCCCCTCCCACCTTACTTCAACACTTCTCTTTGATAAATAAAGACCAGCTTACATTTTTTTGCTGTGATTAATTTTTCCCTTTTTACTCTGATCCATGTTGCTTACTTATAAAATTATGTGATGGTAATGAAGATATTTCCCATTTCCACCTGTAACTCTTATGGAATTTAATATTGAAAGTTAGATAAAAATGTGAGGCACTTTAGGCTACTTAGCAGAAATGTGCATATTCTTGAGATCAAAAAAAGAAAGAAAGAAAAAGGACAATCATGGAGAAAAGTCAAAGAGTAAATATCTACCATTTTTTCCCAATCACATCATGTTTATAAATTTAAATGTGTCTAACAATGAACACACGATTTTAAGGAGATATATAAGAAATAGCTCTGATGAAGCCAAATAACACAGGCTTGTTATTGTTCCCGTCACCACAGTTTGAAAGGTGTGGCAGGAGAAAGCGAACAGAGAATCTCAAATGAAACACAATATTGATATTTGGCATGCTCAGATGATTTTCCACCCAAAGATATGAAATCACTTTACCCACAGTCATTACGCCTCCCCACCAGCCCTTGGTACCGCCGGGAGGTCAGTGGAGGTTGACTTTGGCATCTCCAGACTCCCCATGCTGTACCCCTTTGCCTTTGTGATGCCGCTCTCATGATTCCTCAAAGTCGGTTTAATGACCACCTGCCATAAAGCACTTGCCATTGACTTAAGAAAGCAGATTCCCAGGCTCCATGCTGATCTATTGAATCAGACTATCTGTGAGTAGAATGTAGCAATCTGCATTTTAAACAGATTTATGACCTGTACATTGAGCTTTGAAAACTACTGAGCTGGCTGGGCATGGTGGCTCATGCCTGTAATCCTAGCACTTTGGGAGGCTGAGGTGGGGTGGGGTTGCTTGAGTCCAGGAGATCAAGGCTGCAGTGAGCCATGATTGCACCACTGTACTGGCGACAGTACAGTGTCTGCCTGGGCAACAGAGCAAGACACTGTCTCAAAAACAAAACAAAACAGAAAACTCCTGACTTATAAAATATAAAGCTCCTTACTTATAAAATTATGTGATGGTAATGAAAATATTTCCCATTTCCACCTGTAACTCTTATGGAATTTAATGTTGAAAGTTAGATAAAAAATATGAGGTGCTTTGGGCTACTTAGCAGATAATAACAACCACTCCAGCCTCCCAGAGTTTTGTGTTTTTCTATCTGACAAATCCACTCTTTTGGAGTGTACAGAGCAGATGTGATTTAATGTAAGTGCTCACCAATGATATAACAAAAGCTTCTCTTTGTTTTTTCTATTAATTTAAAATTTTTTTTTTTATGCAGGGTCTCACTCCGTCACCCAGGCTGGAGTGTAGTGGTGCTATCATGGCTCACTGCAGCCTCCACGTCTGGGGCTCAAGCGATAGTCCCACCTCAGCCTCCTGAGTAGCTAGGACTACAGGCACGTGCCACCATGCCTGGCTAATTTCTTAAATATTTTGTAGAGACTAGGTCTCACTATGTTTCCCAGACTATTTTTGAACTTCTGAGCTCACGTGATTCTCCTGCCTTGGCCTCCCAAAGTGCTGTGATTATAGGCGTGCCTACCATACATATATATTTTATGATTAAAAAAAATTTTTTTTTGTAGAGATCTTTTGTAGGGGTCTTGCTATGTTGCCCAGGCTGGTCTCAAACTCCTGGTCTCAAGTGATCCTCCTACATTGGCCTCCCAAAGTGCTGGGATTACAGGTGTAAGCCACCATGCCTGGCCCAGAATATACTCTCTTTACTGGTGCTGTGATACCTGGTAAGCTCAAAGCAAACTCTGTTAATTGAGGACATCCCAAGTCTCATTTTTAAATATTTGAGCTCAAATATTTGAGCTTAATTTTGTTTATGTTTATTGTCTTTTGCCCTCCATTCAAATTAGCTTTCTTTTCAAATAATTTTATGGCAAAATTCTCTAATATGTCCATCTCAGTTTATAATTCTCTTGATTGTTGTACAAATTTTATGCCATAAAAGCATAGGCCTTTTCAATTTCTTTTTACCTTGTATAAAATATAAGTTTATTCAATAAAAAAGAAGCTCTATGAAAATATGCTCCAGAAAGGTAAGGCAGTCTAGAACACAATTACAAAATTTCACAATCAGATCTTGTATAAAAAATGGGGTAATCACTGAATATATTCATTTTCTCCTTGCTTTTGTAGGTATCAATTTCAATGCCTTCATATTCATAAGCTTTATTTCAATTTTGAAATTTGTGAAAAGCCTAAAAATTTGAAGATTTTTTGGTTCTTCACTGATTGACTGTTTTGTTTAAAGACTTTCTGCTGATTTCAAACAAAATACAACCAAAATTTAAAGGGTTCATTTACAATAAGCACAATACCATTGTAGAACACTTTGATTTACAAAGTAATATTTCAAGAAGATACTTCTAAACTCGTTTATGTCAGGCAGTAAAGAAATAATTTACTTCTATGCTGAAATACTTTTGATATTTAATTATTTAGTAGTCCAGTTACTTTCAGTAAATATGAAAATGTTTCCATTATGATCAGTATACTATTACACACTTTTGTATGCAATTTTGCTGCTCAAAAGAGTGACAGTAGTCTCTTTCTCTCTATTTTTTTTTTTTTTTTTTTGACGGAGTCTGGCTCTGTCAGGCTCTGTCACCCAGGCTGGAGGGCGGTGGCGTGATCTCGGCTCACTGGAGCCTCTGCTTCCCAGGTTCAAGTGATTCTCTTGCCTCAGTCTCCTGAGTAGCTGGGATTACAGGCGTGCACCACCATGCCCGGCTAATTTTTGTATTTTTAGTAGAGACAGGGTTTCACTATGTTGGCCAGGCTGGTCTTGAACTCCTGACCTCAAGTGATCCACTCGCCTCAGCCTCCCAAAGTGTTGGGATTACAGGCATGAGCCACCACGCCCAGCCATAGAACACACTTTTTAATCATGACACTATGCTCCACCAAAATTTGTTTCTGTATTATAATCACGAAAACAAATGATTTGATTTTTAATTTGAACTTTAACCGAATTTGCAATAATACTCACAATGATGTCAAGTATTTCATCCTTTACAGAATGACCCTCTAACAATGTCACTATATTCCATAGAATGAACTAAATAACTAAACCATTAATGGAATTAACTTTTTTTTTTTTTTTTGAGACAGAGTTTCCTTCTGTCACCCAGGCTAGAGTACATTGGCATGATCTCAGCTTACCGCAACCTCCACCTCCCTGGTTCAAGTGAATTTTGTGCCTCAGCTTCCTGAGTAGCTGGGGTTACAGGCATGCACCACCATGCCCAGCTAATTTTTTTTTAAATATTTTTAGTAGGGAAGTGGTTTCGCCATGTTGGTCAGGCTAGTCTAGAAATACCAGCTTCAAGCAATCCACCTGCCTTGGTCTCCCAAAGTGCTGGGATTATAGGCGTGAGCCACCACGCTCAGCCCTAACTTATTTGACTTTTTAATTTGGAGTATCTAATAGTACTGATATAAAACGAGCACCATTTTAATGTTTGCAAAACTCTTTTGCTAATGAAATCAACACATTATTAGTATCACTTCACTTTTCACAAATGTAAAAGAAAACTTGGAATGAAAATGGGCAAAATGTATTTATAAGAACATTTGATCAAAATGAAAAGTCGTGCCTCATAGAATGATATGCAAATGCATCTTCTGTAGCTACAGAGGTAAAATTGTTTTTGGGCATAGTCTTTTAAAACTCAGTATTTAACTCTTGCAATGGATGCTGATTTTTTTTTACTTATGTGTCTTCTGTTTTGGGCCCCCATGATAGACGTTAATGACAACAAACCTTTTGTGAAATTTGCATTCTGTGTTAATGTCAACAAACATTCTTCACTAAGTGTTTTCTGAGAAATGAAAATTCAGAACTTAATTTTTCATTGAACATGGCATTTTCATTATTTAGTTCATTGTTACCAAAAGAGTTTATTGAAAATTAGAAAGGGCTGTATCAAACAATAAAATAAATAAATAGATCTATGCTATTTAGATGCTTTAAGATAGGACTACTCTGTTTCCATTCCTTTATGTATTTCAACTATATCTAGTCTATGATTTCTCACATTCCTCGATGACACCGCCATTTGGAGACCTGTCAACTTTGTGATTCTCTTAGTTCATGGCGTAGGCCACAGATGAACTGGCTGGTGCAGCAAAGCCTAGCAGGGCAGCAGCTGCACTTGGAAGGAGAAGGAGTTAGTTGTCCTCAGCTACTCATGTGTGAGCGTCTTTGTTCTACCAGCCAGCAAATGGTATATCGTTCCTGAAGGCAAGGTTGTACTTCCATTCCTTGACAAAAGAGTCAAGGAAAAAGAGATGAGTTACAGCTGCTTTCAGGTTTTACAAAATGTTAAAATGAGAATTCTGTTCACTGAGCATCTGGCTCACACACTATAAGCTGGGCCTATGACAGTTGCTTAAAGTACAAAATGAGAGGTTGATCACAGCCATTCCCACTTATTTCAATGTATCTATTACTATAGTAATATTACCTCATTCTAAAGAGTGAAAAAACCTGGGACAAATGCTAAACCAGACACTATACCAGGACAACAGGTATAAAACAGGAGTGTTCTGGGGAAACTGGTACCTCTGGTCACCTTAGTTCTTTTCTTAGTTCTTAGAAAAGAAGCAGAGCTATGGAACTGTAACTCAAGGAAGATATAGGGTCAAGGGAATGTGTTTATTTGCTTGTTTCTAAGATGAAAGAGCTAGGAAATACCCTGAATGTTACAGGATTTGGGATAAAATCCATTTAATGGAGACTAGAACCTTCAAGAAGAACTTTTCTGGCAGATATCATCCTTGAAATAGTTTTGAAGAATACAATAGTAGCTACCTGAGGAAAGTCTGAGGATGGATCATTGCAGTGAAGGGACCAGCTAATAAAGACATGTTAAATGCAGTGAAACCCTAAGAATAGAAGCTCACTTCTTGGGAGAATGTATGTAGAGGAGCAGAGAAATGGATCAATGAAAGACTCCTGAGAAACGTAACGGTAGAGAAGAAAACAAAGAATCGGCTAGGCAAATTGAGAGAGGCCAAAGTCAGAAAAGCATGGCATCACTGAAGCCAAAGAGGAATTTTGAATGGGAGAGAATGGCCCACAGAGTCAAGTGCAGTAGAAGGGCAGGAATGTGTGGCATTACCTGCAAGGAGTAGGAGACGGCCTATGATAACACATGCTAACAGAAGTGCAGACCATGAAGTTTGGCTGCAAAAGATAAGGAGAAAATAAGGCATTATCCATTAGCAGAGGGCACATGATCCTGGGACAGTGCCATTGCTGTTGCTTCAGGATGAGAGGCTTCAGTCTGCTTTTATACTGAGAGAAAGGATTAAGTAGAAACAGACAGGTTCATGAAATAACAGAGGAGATATTGTTAGAGAAAAGCTTCAAAGGAGACCAAAAGGGAGGACAAGGGCCAGTGAGGAGGGCTGTTTTTGAACTTGATGATAAAATTACAATTTGCAATTATAAGTTTATTTAAATGTTTACTTATTTATCGTTTTTGTCACCAATTACAGAGTAAGCTCAGGAGAACTGGTTCTATTTCTGTTTTATTTAAATCCTTGTGTATCTAGTGCCTAGTGTACTTGTTAAGTGCTCAGTTGATTTTTGCAAATGAATCCGGTGAATTAAAAAAATCTTTCATTTTCTGAGGCTAAAGGAGATTTCAAAATACTGGATCAGACATTCCAACAAAAATTATAATAAATATAAGCATACCATATAAGTAGTAAATCATACTACAATCTTTAGTGATTATTTTTATTCACAGAATGGTATTACACAGACTGCAATTCAACCTTAGGAGGCTGAAATTATGCCCTCAGAATATATATACACATTATTCTTTCAATTATTTCAATAATTGCATGCTAAAGGAGTGGTACTGTTTTTACTGAAGAGAAAAATCAGCAGTTTGCCTAAGACAGTCTCAAACCCAGTAGGTGGTAAGGTAGGATTTGAACCCCATTTGGTTGGCTTTCAAAGTCTAGATTTACATTCTCCCAAAGATGCTCTGTAGATTCATAGTTTTCAGTTATTTCTGGACATTTTGATGTTTCTTTGTACTGTAAAGTATTTTTCAGATGACTGACAATTGGCTGAAATGCACACTAGAATGTAAACTCCGTAAGGGCAGGGATTTGTGTGTGTGTCAGTTTTATGCTCTGCAATGTGCAGTCATTTGTAGGTATCCAAGGGGAATTGGTTCTAAGACACTGTTGGATACCAAAATCTGTGAAGGCTCAAGTCCCTGATATAAAATGGTGTCGTATTTGTATATAACCTGTGCACATCCTCCCATATGCTTTAAATCACCTCTAGATTACTTATAACACCAAATACAATGTAAATGCTACATAAATAGTGGTTATATTGTATTGTTTAGGGAATAATGACAAGAAAAAAAGTCTAAGTATGTTCAGTATATGTTCAGTACAGACACAACCATCCAATTAAAATAAATATTTTTGGTCTGTGGTTGGTTGAATCCACAAATGCAGAACCCACAGATACAGAGGGCTGGCTGTATTCCTAGCATCTGGAGTGATATCTGTGCCATGGTAACTGCTTAACAAATATTTGTCGAGTTGGAGTAAGAATGAATAAAATACTTTTGAAGGAGCTCCCTTCTTCTAGGTTAAGTTTTGAAGTCTGCTAAAATATATGCTTCTAGGGGTGGTACTAGTTTCCACTCTTGCTGTTCGTTGAATAAATAATGTCAGGGTAGGGAGGAGAAAAAAAATTGAGGAGAGGGCCTAAGGACACTGAGGTGTGAATGAGCATGGTTTGGTGGATACAGTGGTTAATTTTACGTATCAACTTGCCCAGGCTATGTGGTACCCAGATGTCTGATGAAACTATTTCTCTGATGGTGTTTCTGGAAGAAATTAGCATTTGAATTTGTGGATTGAATAAGGCTGATGGCCCTTCCCAAGGTAGATGGGCATCATCCAATTCATTAAAGGCCTGAAGAGAACAAAAGGCAAAGGAAGGTTGTCTCCCTTTGTCTCACTGCTTGAACAGGGACATTGATTTTTCCTGCCATCAGTGTTCCTGGTTTTCAGGCCTTCAGACTCAGACTGGAATTGACACTATCAGCTCTCTGGCTCTCAGGCCTTCAAACCACACCACTGGCTTTCCTCTTCCTTCCTTAATTGGGGAGGATTGTGGGACTTCTCAGCTTCCTTAATTATATGAGTCAATACCTTGTAATAAATCTCTATCTATCTATCTATCTATCTATCTATCTATCTATCTATCTGTCATCTAGCTATTTACCTACCTACCTACCTCTCTATCTCAGTTCTGTATCTGTTTCTCTATTTATATATCTATCTACCTACCTACCTACCTATCTCAGTCCTGTTTCTCTGAAGATCCCTGACTAATACAGTGGAGTTCATCTACTCTGAAGTTTGTCCAAGGCCCAGCATACACTGCCGGTCTTGTTGTAGCTTATCATTAACCATGCCAGTGAGATTTTAACTATGGGTGTTTGAAAATGGTTGGCTAATACTAATCTCTGATCCAATATGTAAGAACATAGTTACTTAATAAACTTCAAGTTGTAATTCTCACTATAATAGTTATGATGTTTATTTACAAATAAAACAAATTAATATTTCAAATAAGTGATAGCAACCAATATATATAAACCTGCCATGTATTTATATCAGCATAAGACAGTTGAATATTTACAATGATTCTTTTGCTCATTCGATAAATATTTATTTAACATCTTCTATGGGCCAAGCACTACCTTTAATGAGAAGTACACTACTATGCTATTGCTTGTAGACAGAGAATGTTTGATCTAAAAATGACTTTCAAGCACAGTAACTAGGAACTAATTACTGGTGCAGATTATTTGAAGCTAATTTGAATTTAGTTTAAATGCAATGTATCTGCGCTATCCTTGTTCCCCACCTAACAAATGACTCTATTAGTGGGGGAATTCACTCAGACTCTCACAGTTGGTATAAAGATTATTTTATTATTATTATTTTTTTTTTTTTGAGATGGAGTTTCACTCTTGTCACCCAGGCTGGAGTGCAATGGCGTGATCTCGGCTGACTGCAACTTCTGCCTCCTTGGTTCAAGTGATTCTCCTGCCTCAGCCTCCTGAGTCGCTGGGATGACAGAGCCCGCCACCATGCCCAGCTAATGTTTTTGTATTTTTAGTAGAGACAGGGTTTCACCATGTTGGACAGGCTGGTCTCAAACTCCTGACCTCAGGTGATCCACCCACCTTGGCCTCCCAAAGTGCTGAGATTACAGGCATGAGCCACTGGGCCTGGCCAAAACCATCCTTAAGTTGATATACAAAAATCTTTACTCTGCATTATTCTGTGAGTTACTCATTGCTGAGCAACTCCCACATGCACATGTAAATAAACCTTGTCTTTTCTCCTGTTAATCTATTTCCAGTTAATTTGCAGGCCCCCAAGCACTGGACCCAAGTGGTAGAGGAAAAGGTTTTCTTCCCAACATTAGTATATTTTTGCCTAGTGATTCACAGTAACTGTAGGTTTTTAACAATATAGTATGGCAATTCCAAGTTGTCCTTAACATTTACAACTTTCACCAGTGGTTATAGATGATAAAACATCCCAGGAACATAGTGTTTAACACTACCAGGCTTGAATACTGACTGATCCACTTACTAGCTGTGTAACCTTGGGCAAACAAATCAATCTTTCTGTGCCTCAGTTTTCTCATCCATAAAATGAACATAAAGATAGTACTTATTTCATGGAGTGGCTAAGAGGATCAAATAAATGTAAAGCACTTAGATTAGGGGTAGATGTATAGCAAGGGCTCAGTTAAATATTATTGTAAGATCTCCATACGGGCAGGGAAGGGGGTCTTGACCACATCCTATTCTGGAACTCTCTAAACACCAGTTATCCCCTGGCTTCAAATTACATTAAGTTGCTTCCAGGTCTAAGGAAACATTTCTGAATTGATGTTACTGTTGTGGCAAAGAATGTTCTTTTTTTCAGGATACTAATGTGTACTTCTCTATGATGTTTTTTATTTTTCAAAGTAGTTTACGGTTTCTGAATATTTTGGGATCACTATGGAAACTTGTAAGGTTTTGAACCTTCATAACCAACCCAAATGCCAGTACACTTTGAAAGGTTTATTAGTAATGCAAGTGTGAAGCTACCAGTACTGTAAATAATTACAATAATGAAAGCAATTATACACACTAAACAGCTCTTGCAGGCCATTCAGTTTTCCAGAGCTTGGCTTTGACAGGCTAGAAAGGTGGAAGAAAAGAAAGATAGAATAATCTGTTTCTAAGTGTACAGAATTTTGCTAATCTTGCTTATCTGAAGTCATAGTCAACACTCATACAGTTTTCATAGTGATAATAATGGCTATCATTTATTGGTTACTTAAATCCTTGCCAATCTTTTTACAGACATTATCTCTTCTGACCTTTAATACATTCAATAAGATAGACGTTATTAGTTCTGATGAACAAATGAGGAAACTGAGCATTTTAAGGCTAAATTCGTGTATCTAGTAAGTGGTGATGGTTCTGTTAGAAGTCACCTAGGAGTATCTAATTCTGAAGTGAGACTTCTTAACCACCACACTGAACAGCATCCATGGTGATGGTGTTCTTTCAGCATTTAGATAGCTTCTGTAGTTCATCTACAGACAGACTACACTTGGAGCCATATTTTAATGCAACAAAAATGTTAAAAATGGGCATGAGTGTATGTCTATATATGGAATATCAATATGCAATAATAATACAAAGAGCTTCACAAAAACTCCTTTATTTTGGCAAAAGGAAGGTATATTAATTTCTCCTCCTTGTTCTCATTCTCCTCCTTCTTCCTATTCCAATTACCACAACTACAATTCTCCTCTTCCTCCTTCTCCTTTTATTTTTTATTTTTATTTTTGACATAGAGCCTTGCTCTGTCACCCAGGCTGGAGTGCAGTGGCACAATCACAGCTCACTGCAGTCTTAGCCTCCTGGGCTCAAGCTGTTCCCCCACCTCAGCCTCCCAAGTATCTGAGACTACAGGTGTGCACCACCATACTTGGCTAATTTTTTTTTAAGAGATAGGGTCTTGCTATGTTGCCCAGGCTCATCTCAAACTTCTGGGCTCAAGCGATCCTCCTGCCTTGGTCTCCCAAAATGTTAGGATTACAGGCGTGAGCCACCATGCCTAGCTCCTCCTCCTTCTTCTTTTTTTTAACCACTCCACAAAAAGATTAAAGGGACATGAAGAGAGAATATCACTCTGGTTTCAGAGGTTGACCAGATGATACGGAAAGAAATAACTTGCTAAAGCAGAAATGCTTTCAACTACTCTGACGTTCACACGCTTTGCTTTGCCAGCATTCGTAGTTACCTGCATCTTTTTTCTAAAAAATCTCATAGGCTTGTCAGAAAGTTGTGACTCAAATATACCCAGATATATTGAACGGAGAGTGATTAATTTAGGCCTTGCTTATTTGGTGCTTACTTGCTTCTTTTTCCTGTGATGAGCATGAGTTTTCTGAGTCAGCGACTGTGTCCCTCTGTAGTAGGTGGGTGACCTGGCACTTCTCTGCTGAATCAGAGGATGCTGCATGCTCACGTTTCCTGTGGGCTGAGTGAATACATGAAGCTCTATCATGCATACTTCTTATTCATGCAACACTTCAGGTAACAAGCAGCAGCAAACGTTAATTCCCAGGGAATGCCAGCAGGACGATTCACGTGGAGGAAATAGTTTGTGATAAAGATTCATCTACTGCTAAAGCCTCTTATTCCCCTTCCAAGCTTGTTTCTTGTTTAAATATTGCTTATGTGGAAAAAAGCCAGTGATATTTTGAGGCTTTTTTTTTTTTTTAAGTAGAGGTGATTCTAATAGGATCAGCAGAAATGGTGATTCTAATATGATCAGCAGAAATCGTGAAAGACTAATTTGGGTTCTGCTTGTTACAAAAACATCTGTGTGATTTCTTTTTCTGATAAGCACATTTGATTGTGGGTATTCCAGAAAATTCTGATTTTTACATTTTAATGCTCTTGGTAGATATTTATTTAGTGCTTATTGCAGGCAAAACTTTGTACTAGACACCAGGGAGGAAGATTATTGGAAGAAAAGAGAAAAGAGACGCAAAGATGACTCAAACAGAGACTCAGACCTCAGAAAGGAGGCATCTCATACACACGTTATCAGAAGGGGAAGGTGTTTAGTCTCTGATATGGGCTAAATGTGATGGGAACTGCTCTACAGTTTCCCAACAAGAATCCTATGGTTAGAACTGTGCCTGCTAGTACATCTGGTGTTAGCAACATCCTTTTAGATCTTTTGATTCCAAATGCCCATGCAAACCTTACATTTCATTCATCAGCCCATACTTGGGTTAACCTTATCTAAGTTAACTGGAACTAATAGAACATCTTATGAAGAAGAGGAGGAAATTATTGCCAAGCAACTTGAAGTTATTTTTTGTTCTTTAATATTAGTGCTACGCTAGTGTGCTTTCAATTCTGAACGGTATCTCCTTAACTCTCTTCCCTGTTCACCCATAACCCAAGGATAAAGCTACTAAGTAGCTCAATAAAAATATTCCTTAATTGGAGAACATATAATGAAAGAGTGATGTTAAAGTCCTTTCATCATAAAGAAGAAGGGAGGAGGAAATAACCTTTCTAGGAGAATGTTAAGTACATTTTCATAGACTTAGAATCAAGACAAAGCTTAAAGATTGAGTTGAATATTCCCCCAGTGGAATTCCCTCTTTCCAGTCCTGCTAGTTGCTCTGTTTGTTCCAAAAGCTGCAAGTGCTTCAAGTGACTTCTGGCTGACTACTTTTGGGATTCCCAGCCCATGAAGGCTTAGTCGTTTTTTTTTTTTTTTTTTGGTTTAGTTTTTTTGTTTGTTTGTTTTGTTTTGTTTTGTTTTGAGTTGCAAGTGACAGAATGTTGATTCAGTGTAGCTTAAACAAAAATAGGAATCTATTGCTTTATGTAAGTGGGTAGACATAGCTGAACCCAGGAATTTAGATTGTCATTAAGCATCTTGTCTTTATTTTTCTCTGAGTGGGTTCAATCTTAGGCATCCTCTTCTCATGTTGTGGTAATGTTAGCTACCAGGAGATATAGGTTTGTATCATCTCTTCAAATGGGATTGTAGTGAAAAGTCTAAGCCTCTTTCTTAAAAGAACTTGGGGGAAAAAATCCCAGGGAAAGCTCTGATTGACTCAGCTTGGGGCACATGTTCACTCCTTTACCAGGAGGATGGGTAACTCTAGCTGGCCTGATGGGTTTGGTCAGTCCCACTTAAACTGTATGAACTTATAATGGGGCAGAGCAGCTTTCCAAGGGTTTTTTTGGTATCTAAACATGTATACATTTACTACGTATTTCTTATTTATTAATTTATTTTTTTGAGACCGTGTATCATTCTGTTGCTCAAGCTGGATTGCAATGGTGTGATCTCGGCTCACTGCAGCCTCTGCCTCCTGGGTTCAAGCAATTCTCCTGCCTCAGCCTCCCAAGTAGTGGGGACTACAGGTGCCTGCCACCATGCCTGGCTCATTTTTTTGTATTTTTAGTAGAGACGGGGTTTCATCATGTTGACTAGGCTGCTCTCAAACTCCTGGAGTCAAGTGATCCGCCTGCCTTGGCCTCCCAAAGTGCTGGGATTTATAGGCATGAGCCACTGTGCCTGGCTGTTTACCCTCTAACTGTAATCCCCAAAATGGAACTCTTCATCTCTCCTTCTTAAATCAGTTTTATTCCCTTCTCAGGGAATGGTTATGCCATCTATCTACCTAGCTTACCAGCACACTTGAAAACATGCTAGATTCTCATTTTCTTAACTTCCATAATCTATCACCAAATTTTTTCAATTTGACTTTAATATTTCTCAAATCCATCTACTTCCAACCAATCTGGTTGTACAATCTTCTTTTTATTTTTAATTTAAAAAATAGAGACAGGATCTTGCTATGTTGCCCAAGCTGGTCTCAAACTCCTGGGCTCAAGTGATCTTCCTGCTGCTTCAATAGCTATTTATTACCCTCAAGATCAAGTGCAAAACTGTTTGCATATCTGAAAAGGTCCTTCATGATTTTACCACTGTATGTACCTAGTGACATAGAATAAAAATTTATTTTACTTGTCAGTTTTGCTTGGTGGTAATTTAAAACTTTATTTTTATAATAATGGATTTGTATGAAGTAGAGTGAAAAATCTGAATAATTTTAAGGTAAAATAATTAGAGTAGATATGTGGCACCTACTGAGATCTAGCACTCTTCTCTTTCTGGGCACATGGATAGATTACACTTCTTGGCCCCTAAACTTGCATGCCTAGTTCTGGCTAATGATTTGTGAGCAGATTATTTAATTGCTGGTGTGAGGCTTTCCAGAGCTCACTTCTTTTTGCCAAAGTGACTTGCAATATTTCAGATAGTGGATTCTCCATCAGGTTGGATATTGGAGTGTGGGTGACATAAAACAGATTCCCCAGTCATCTTGTAATGAACATGAAGTGGGAGTGAGCAGAGTTTTTCTATTTTATGCAAATATTGGGGATGTTTCTTATTGCAGCATAACCTACGCTATCCTGCCTCTGGAAAGTAGATCTATCCCCTCCAATTCCATGGAGATAATCCCCTCCAATTCAGTGGAGGTAATTCCCTCTACTCTGTTGTTAGGAGTAGAAGTGCAGTTTGGGAAGCACTGCTTTGTAGCATCCAGCTTTGTGCAATATGTATATTAGTTGCTCAAGTACTGTTTCTGGAAGAGAATTCATTCTATGTTGAATGATTTAAATGTGGTCTTTTTTGAAGCTAGGAAGATTTTTTTGTCTTTTCTGTAAAATGCTCATAGAGAATTAATTATTAAAGTGTTCTATAACCCATTTCATCTCTATTTTTTCCTTCACAAAAGTAAAATACTGTTTTTTGGAAACATATCATAATTCTAACAAATTCTAATACTATTTAGAAGTAATACACCACATCCGTTTTCCAAGTTTATATTATAAATACCTAAGGAATTTTTATCACATTTAAATGTGTTTCCTTTCCTATGATAGAAATGGGATGTTGCCAACTCTATGAGAAGCACAAAGATGGCTTCCAGCAGATGTGTGTATTACACATATATTACAGTGTCTGTGTTTAAAGTTAATCTTTTCCTGAACAGGTTTAAGAGATCTAAGTGAGTGCTTGTAAATTTGAGTCAGTGTTGGAGAGCAGTAAAAAAATAAGCAAGGAATGAGCAGATTTCAACAAGTGGTTTTATTGCTGTAAAACTACTCTATGCCCACCCCACCCTAAACGTCATTGCAATAGGCAACTGTAGGACTCATAAAGAACTGAAAACACTTAGATTGTACTACAGCAAACTTTGTGATTGACAATGCTGAGACAGGCTATAAAATTCCCCAGTGCTGGTCAAATTCTCTTTCTATTTTAGTAAAGTTTCTCTGCTTAGGTTTGCATATATTTATCCTGAGAGTTGAATCTCCTTTACTGATTTTGGTTGCTACTTATTGTTTCATCCATTCGTGGAACACAAGTTCAATTTTTTTCAAGGCAAGTCTTTCCGTATCTCAAAGTATGGTGACAAGAATTCTATTCTGGGAAGCATAAATTCTGTTAAGATATTAGTAGATTTATTTTCCATATTGTTTAAATAGTCACATTTTTATAAATGCTTCTTGAAAGAGTGGTGCAGTGATAAAGATAAGTTCGTACTGAGAAATGTCATGTTTAACTTTCAAATTTGACCTTTATGTACAACTTCAATTACAGGTATCTTTATTTTTGAATACTAATATTTGATTCATTTTATGACTAGACATTTGATTCAGGAGCAAAACACTCTTTTTTATTTATTTGTAGTATAATTCAATGAATTCAACTGCTTCTTTCTCCAAAAAGTTTTCTCTACTTCATTATATCCATATACTACTAATTGATCAGGTCAATTTTTATGCATGTGCTCTCCATTTCTAGTTCTCCCTGTTTCCCGCCACATATATACACACCTAGTCCAAGTAATGGAAAAGGAAATGATTTAAACCTAATTGTATTGGTGGTAAATTATGTATGTACTATTAAGAGATTTTTATACTGGTGTTTCTTCAGGAAGCTTCCAGATTTTCTCAAATGCTTAAAGGCTCTATCTTTTTGTGGTATAGTAAGGCCTCTTTCATAATAAGCATAATCTCTTTCATCAAAATGGCCTCATAAAATTCCCTCAAGACCAGCACTATATGGTTTTCATCTCCTCCATTTCATAGACCCTAATACAGAAATTTCAAACATTTAAATAATTAAAAAAATTAAATCGATCAGAATATTTTACCTTTTTCTCATGAAGCTTGTTTAGGTGACAATAGTTTTAATATTTTAATGAATTAAAGCTTTAATTCGCTGGTTTTCAAGCTGAATTTCTATGATCATAAGTTCCATAAGAGCCATATTTTCATTGGTACTTGTCATCATTATTAAGAATTCAAGATGCTGCTCATAGTGCCTAGAATTTAGTCAAAGTATAGTTCTTCTTTTGCAGCAGAATGTGAGGGGATGGGAGTAGTTCACCCTGGGTGCAGGCAATAAGGGGTTGCAATGTCTGTAGAGAACTTAAACCAACTGAAAGCCAGTCTACTTTTCATTATGGACATGTACCAGCACTTCCAAACAATGTCAGTAATAAATAACTCCTCTCCATTGGGGTACACTACTCCAAAGCCTTCCCCTCATCCAGTGTGCTACACTGATGCTTCAGAACATAACTTTTCAAACAAAATTGCTTATTAGTTTGCAGCGGTTAAGTCTTTCAAAGCACATTTTATAAAAAAAGCATTTTACAGATTCTTGAATGGGCCTGGATTTCAGAATTAAGTCATCTCAACAAAGGGAGCAGTTTTGACTTCATTTAGTGACAATAAAGAACAGCCATGTACTGTGATCCTGGGCTCTGAACACTGAAGTCTTTGGAGGTGGCCTTTCTAGAGGTAACTTAGCTCTCAGAATGTCAAAAGGCTTTTCGGTGTCTTCTCCGATTCCTTCCCCGACCTTCTCTTCTCTATCTGCTTTGCTGTGAATGTAGGCAGCTACACTTGTTACTTAAAGATAAGTGAAGATACTGGCTAAAATTGGGAATCTGTTCACAAAGAACACATGCTTGAGTAATTAAGATATGAATACATCATTATTATAGTTCTCATAATGTGTTTGCCTAGGACACTGCCACAAGCTATTCACAGTATGTGATTTGACTTCATTGAAAACATTAAGTGAACAATCATAATAATGCTCTTTTTCTCTCACAATCGCTCTATCATTTAATATGCCTTTTAAGATTCTAAAAACAATGTATAAAAACTTAAAGCAACTGACAACAAGATGAGTGGAATACATTTACTCTGCATCTATTTAGAGAGGCAGTATTTTGGGCCGGGCATAGTGGCTCATGCCTATAATCCCAGCACTTTGGGAGGCCGAGGCAGGCAGATCACCTGAGGTCAGGAGTTCGAGACCAGCCTGGTCAATATGGCGAAACCCCGTCTCTACTAAAAATAACAAAAATTAACCGGGAATAGTGGCAGGCACCTGTAATCCCAGCTTCTCAGGAGGCTGAGACAGGAGAATTGCTTGAACCTGGGAGGTGGAGGTTGCAGTGAGCCAAGATCATACCATTGCACTCCAGCCTGGGCAACAAGAGAGAAACTCCGTCTCAAAGAAAAAAAAAAAAGGCAGTATTTTATAGTAAAAAGATACTGACTCTACACCTGCCATTTACTAGTTGTGTGGTAACTTTCAGCAAGCCAATTAACCCCTTAGAGCCCACATTTTCTGATCTGAACAGGGAGAATGATAGTAGGTAATATAGCCCTGTGTTGGGGCTGTTGTGAAGAGCAAAGGAAATCACAAATATAAAATGACTTTGAGAATTCTAAAGCAGAGTTGGCAAACTCAAAAGTCTACAAGGAACAACAGACAACACAAATGTCTGAATCAGTCTCATTGTAAGAGTAAGAGCAGGTGAGCTTATGTTTGGGCTAGAGAGTGTGGACCATGACCAAAGCCATTCAAACGTGCTTATTTATTTTGTAAAATATTCCAGTTCAATAAAGCAGTCTGAGTATCACTGGTTGTGACACCAATTCAAAAGGTTATACAGAGATAAGAGTTATATTTATGGGATGTAGGCTATGCCCATTTCCTGAAATAAAAGAAAAAAAATTAGCATCAAATGTGCTTACGCAGCAACAGGATGGATTTAGATTAATATTATGGAAAACCTCACAAATGATTCAAAATTATATTATCGATATTATCCAATATAGTCATAGAGTCACCACATGTCTGTGTTGGCAAAAAGCCCTCTATTTTGCTCCTGAGCCCTCCGCTCCCACACAATCAACAATCTAAGATCCCTGAGAGGTACCCTGCATGGGTCAGGGTTTGGGAGAGAGAGTGAGGAGTACCTGCTGCCCTTTGGCTCTTTACTATGTCTTGGTTGCTGCCCCATGTTATTGTTGAACACATGTCCTGCACAGTCTGGTCAGCATTTATCCATTGGCTGTTCTGCCATGTGCTGACTGGTTCCAAGCCATTCAATGATCACAGTAATATTCCATTCTTGATGGGCAGGTTATAGCTGCCTTGTTTTATACTGATAAGCTCAGCTATTTTCCTCTTCATGCACAACTCTGTGTTGGGTGCAAAAAACCCAACAAAGAACTGTCTGAAACAAAAATACAATGGATGAGAATGAAAAGGTTATATAAAAGGTAAGAAAAAATAAATTTGGGGAAGACAAGGAAAGGTGCTATACTGAATGTTTGTGTCTTCCCTAAATTCATATGTTGAAGCCCAATCCCCAGTGTGATGGTATTAGGGGTGAAGTCTTTGGGGCTCGATTAGGTCATGAGGATGGAGCCCTCATGGATGGGATTGGTGCCCTTATAAAAGGATGCTAGAGAGCTCTCTTGCCCCTTTCACCATGCGAGGACACAGGGAGAAAACAACCATCTGTGAATCAGGAAGCTGGCCCTCACCAGACACCAAATTTGTTGACTCTTTGATCTCAGAGTTTCCAGCTTCCAGAACTTTGAGAAATAAATTTATGTTGTTTATAAGCTACCTAATCTAAGGCATTCTGTTACAGCAGCTTGAATGGGCTAAGGCAACATAGAAGAAATATCAGAAAAAAATTATTATTTAACTTAAGTATTTGTTACTTTTGGAAGGATTACAATAATTAGAAAATAAACCAGTAATCAATGATATAATGGGAGAAAGTTTTCTCAGCTAAAAATAAATATGGATATATAAATTGAAAACATTTATAGCATTTTACACAAAATCATTGACAAGATATCCACACCTAGAAATGCTTATGATATAAAAAATAATAATTTATTTCTTAAGTAAGATATTCACATAATCAAAATATAAAATGTGCAAAAGTGTTATGGAGAGGTTTCATTTTTTTTTTTTTTTTTTTTTTTTTTTGAGACAGGGTCTCACTCTGTCACCTAGGCTGGAGTGCAGTGGCGCGATCTCGGCTCACTGCAACTTCTGTGTCCCCGGTTCAAGCAATTCTCCCACCTCAGCCTCCCCAGTAGTTGGGACTACAGACATGCACCACCATGCCTGGCTAATTTTTGTATTTTTTGGTAGAGATGGGGTTTCACCATGTTGACCAGGCTGGTCTCAAACTCCTGATTCAGGTGACCAGCTGCCTTGGCTTCCCAAAGTGCTGGAATTACAGGTGTGAGCCACTACGCCCGGCCATATGGAGAAAAATTTCTATCCCATCTCTGTCTCTTCACTTTTTATATAAATGGTGGCATGCACATATGTTTTACTACACATATTTTTCACTTAATAGTGTATATTAAGTAATATTTCAACTACATGATAGCACATACATGAGGAATCTAAAATAGTCAAACCCAAAGAAGCAGAGAGTAGTACGGTGGTTACCAGGGTCTGGAGAAAGGAGAAATGAGGAAGTATTAGTCAAAGGGTACAAAGCTTTAGTTATATAAGATGAATAAGTCCTAGAGATCTGTCCAACATGAAGCCTATAGTTAACAACATTGCATTGTATACCTAAACATTTGCTAAGATGACAGATGTTAAGTGTTCTGATCACACACAAAAAATAATTGGCTGGACACAGTGGCACATGCCTGTAATCCCAGCACTTTGGAAGGCTGAAGTGGGGGGATCATTTGAAGTTAGGAGTTCAAGACCAGCCTGGCCAACATGGTGAAACCTCTGTTGCTACTAAAAATGCAATAAATAGTCGGGTGTTGTGGTCCATGCCTGTAATCTGAGCTACTGAGGAGGCTGAGGCAGGAGAATTGCTTGAACCCAGGAGGCGGAGGTTGCAGTGAGCCGAGATCACTCCACTGCACTCTAGCCTGGGCGATAGAGCAAGACTTCACCTCAAAAAAATAATAATAAATAAAGAAGGTAAGAGGAAAGTTTTGGTAGTGATAGGTATATTTTTGATATAGATTGTTGTGATGGTTTTATGGTGTATACTTATCTCTAAAGTCATTGAGTTGTATACATTAAATATAAATAGTTTTTTGATATGTCAATTATACCTCAATGAAATGGCTTAGAAAACTAAAGAATATTCCATATCTCCTAAATAATACACATTTTCTACTTTTTCTTTTTCCTTTTTCCAATCATTGCATAATGGGCTTTTATCTTTCTAAAAAACAGTTCAACCAGATCCAAGTCAGTAAACCCTATTCATTTACTCAGAACTTTCAAAGTATTTTAGTTCCTCTTAATTGTGAGAAGACAACCAAGGATTGCCACACATTGAAGGATTCTTCTGATATGAAAAAAAGAGACTAGGCAAATAGAAAAAAAGGAAATTGAAGGAAATAGAAATTATTCATGAAAAAGAAAACTTAAAAGAATATATAGCATTTATAACCTGAGAAAGATAAAAGGGAGGCAAAAACATCCATGAAATAATAATTATATGATATCAACATGGAACATTCAGAGGAGAAAATGGGTTGCTAGATATTAGTAATATGTTATAAAAATGAACATCTCAATAAAGTATGGTAAAATAAGCAAATATTCTAGAAATTATAATAAAAATATAAAGATTTGTAAAATAAAAAAGCAAAGGTAAGAAAATCATAGTATCATCCCAGAAGATCTAATACCTGAATAGTACAAGTTACAGAAATGGAAAACAGAAATATCAAAGACAGAAAATTGTAATTGATACAATTCAAGAAAATTTCCTGTACTCTGAGTTTCTCAACCAAGAATTCTGTTAACGAGAAGCAGTAATAAAAAGTCTCCCATCAAAGAAAAGTCGAGTACCTGATGGCTTCACTGCTGGATTGTACCAAACACTTAAAGAGTAACTAATACCAATTCTACTCAAACTATTCCAAAAAATAAAGAGGAGAGAATATTTCCAAACTCATTCTATGGTGCAAGCACTACTGTGATACCAAAGCCAGACAAGGACACATACACACAAAAGAAAGCTACAGGTCAGTATCCCTGATGAATATAGATGCAAAAATCTTCAACAAAATACTAGCAAACTGAATTTAAAACCATGACCCATTGGAATTAATCCTAGGAATGCAAGGATGGTTCAACATATGCAAATCAATAAATTTGATACATTAAATTAATAGAATCAAGGATGAAAGCCATGGTCATTTCAACAGATATAGAAAAAACATTTGATAAAATTCAACATCTATCATGATAAAAACCCTCAACAAACTAAGTATAGAAGGAATATACCTCAAAACAACAAAAGTCATTATGACAAACCCATAGCTAGCATCATACTGAATGGGGATAAACTGAAAGCCTTTCCTCTAAGATCTGAAACAATACAAGGATGCCCAATTTCTCCACTTGTATTCAGCATAGTACTAGAAGTCCTCACCAGAGCAATTAGGCAAGAGAAAGAAATAAAGAGCATCCAAACTGGAAAGGAAGAAGGTAAATTGTCCTTGTTTGCAGATGATATGATCTTACATTTAATAAAGCCTAAAGCTTCCACCAAAAAACTGTTAGAACTGATACATGAATTCAGTAAAGTTGGTACTGAAGCAGGAAACAAAAGTAGAATACAAATCCAGTAATATTTCTATATGCCAACAGTGAACGATCTGAAAAGAAACCAAGAAAGCAATCCCATTTACAATAGCTACAAAAAATAAATCCTAGGAATAAACTTAACCAAATGAGTGAAACATCTTTACAATGAAAACTATAATGCACTGATGAAAGAATTGACAAGGACACAAAAAATGGAAAGATGTCTCATGTTCATAGATTGGAAGAATTAATATTGTTAAAATGTCTGTAGTACCTGAAATGATTTATAGCTGAAGTGCAATCCCTATCAAAATACCAATCACATTCTTCACAGAAATAGAAAAAACGCTGTCCACAAAAAGAGCCCAGATAGCCAAAGCAATCCTGAGCAAAAGGACCAAAGCTGGAGGTACCACATTACCTTGTTTCAAAATATACTACAAAACACAAAACTGTACTAATTAAAACAACACAGTACTGGCATAAAAATAGACACAAAGACCAGTGGAATAGAGTAGAGAACCTAGAAATAAATCAATACAGTTATAGCCAAATCCTTTTTGACAAAAGCTACAAGAACATTTATTGAGGAAAGGACAGTCTCTTCAATAAATAGTGCTGAGAAAACTGGATATTCACATGGTGAAGAATAAAACTAGACTCCTGTCTCTCACCACATGAAAAAGTTAACTCAAAATGAATTGAAGACTTAAATCTAAGACCTAAGACTATGAAAGTACTACCAAAAAATTTGGGGAAACACTTTAGGGCATTGGTCTGGGCAAAATTTCTTGAGTAAGGCTACAAAAACACAGGCAACCAAAGCAAAAATTGACAAATGGGATCACATCAAGCTACAAAGCTTCTGCACAACAAAGGAAACAATCAACAAGCGGAGAGTCAGTCCACAAAATGGGAGAAAGTATGTGCAAACTACCCACCTGACAAAGGATTGATATCCAGAATATGTAAGGAACTGAAACAACTCAATAGCAAAAAACAAATAATCTGACTAAAAAATGGGCAAAAGATCTGAATAGACATTTTTTTTTTCTTTTTTTTTTGAGATGGAGTCTCGCTCTGTCGCCCAGGCGGGAGTGCAACGGTGCAATCTCGGCTCACTGCAAGCTCCGCCTCCTGGGTTCACGCCATTCTCCTGCCTCAGCCTCCGGAGTAGCTGGGACTACAGGCGCCCGCCACCAGGCCCGGCTAATTTTTTGTATTTTTTAGTAGAGACGGGGTTTCACCGTTTTAGCCAGGAAGGTCTCGATTTCCTGACCTCGTGATCCGCCCACCTCGGCCTCCCAAAGTGCTGGGATTACAGGCGTGAGCCACAGCGCCCGGCCTGAATAGACATTTCTTAAAAGAAGTCATATAAATAGCCAACAGGTATGAAAAAAATGTTCAGCAGCACCAATTATCAGGGAAATGCAAATCAAAATTACAATGAGATATTGT
The DNA here is from genome assembly GCF_000001405.40 of Homo sapiens. Taxonomy (NCBI): domain Eukaryota; kingdom Metazoa; phylum Chordata; class Mammalia; order Primates; family Hominidae; genus Homo; species Homo sapiens. The sequence goes on from NC_000013.11 coordinate 73,316,019, forward strand.
CTCACCCCAGCTAAAATAGCTATTATCAAAAAGACAGAAAATAACAAATACTGATGAGAATGTGAAGAAAGGAAAACATTCTCACGCTGTTGGTGGGAATGTAAATTAGTACAACCATTATGAAATCCAGTATGGAGGTTCCTCAAAATCTAAAAATAGAACTACCATGTGATCCAGCAATCCTGCTGCTGGATATATATCCCCCAAAAAGGAAGCTGGTATACCAAAGAGATATTTGCACTCCTATGTTTATTGCAGCGCTATTCACTGTAACCAAGATATGAAATCAACCTAAGTGTCCACTAATATATGAATTAAAAAAATGTGACGTGTATACACACACACAAGAGAATATTATTCAACTATGAAAAAAGAATGAAATTCTGTCATTTGCAGCAAGGTGGATGGAATTGGAGGGCATTTCTGTTAAGTGAAATAAGCCAGGCATAGAAAAACAAATATCACATGTTCTCACTCATATGCGGGAACTAAAAGAATTGATCTCATGAAGATAGTGAATAGAATGGTGGTTACCATAGGGAAAGGTATGGGATAGAGGGGATGAAAAGGGATTAGTAATGGACACAAAAATACAGCTAGATAGAAGAAATATATTCTAGTGTTCAATAGCACAATAGGGCAACTGTAATTAATAATTTATTGCCTATTTCAAAATAGCTATTTGGAATGTTCTCAGCACAAAAAATGATAAATATTTGAAGCGATGAATATACAAATTACACATTGTATGCTTGTATATGTACTCCATAAATATGTACAACTACTATGTATCCATTAAAATTTAAAATTTAAAAAAGAATGCCTACAAATGGATGAAAATGTATCCATAACAAGGTAAGCATTGCAATATTTCAGAACACTGGGGAAAAAAGAGAAGGTCCTATAAGCTTCAAGGGAGAAAAGAATAATATAAAGGGTCAGAAGTGAGAATGGCTTCAGATTTCTTAATAGCCATACATGAAGCTTAAAGATAACAGAGAATTGCTCTCTCAAAATTATGAAGGAAAAATAATTTCCATATTTGAATTATTTTATTCACCAAACTATCAATCAAGGTTGAAGGCTGAATAAGAATTTCAAACATTGTATTTTATACATCTGTTCTCGAGAAGCTTCCGGAAAATGTACTCTATCAAAAACAAGGGAGTAAATGAGGACCATGAAGACATGGGCTCAGGTATGAGGAGACCCACCACAGGACAGAGGTTGAAAAGTAATGGGAGAGTTCCAGGATGACAGTTATGCAGGAGGCCTGACTAGCAAACAGTCTAACCTAACCAGAAGGACAATATAAGTCTCCAAGAGGGATGTTTACAAGGTGATTAACCTCCTGGAAAACTGCACTGAGATCCTACTAGAATGTGCTTGGCACATTAAATGTACTTAGCTAAGGTAAAAAGGAAACTTAAAAAAAAGGAAAAACTATAAACCAAGCAATTACTAACTCCATGGAAGAAAAAAGAAAACACAATAGTATATTAGAATGTTCAACTGTGAATAATGTTTGCACGGTTTTAATTATATAATGTATAATTACACAAACACTAAATATGGATTTACCACAAAATTATCTTAACTTGGAGAGATGCAGAGAGGATTGTAGAGGCCTAAACATACTTCAAAGATGCAACACCCACAATATGAAGACAGCATATATTTGAATAATTATCCTCTGTAATGATGAAATTTCCAGAGACAAATGAGAAGGCCCAAGATTGTATTCCTTGGTAGTTTAAGCCCATAAATAAAACAAAACAAAAAGCTCCCAACGAATTTGCCTTATCTTTCTCACCCCATGAATTAAAAATCTAAGGATATTACAGTCTTTCTTAGTTTATACACTGCTCAGTCCTAGCCAGAGGGGGCCCTGTTCACTTGATTAGAGGTACAGTTCCATCCACAGCCACAGCTGGGGCTCTGTGGGATTTTTTCAGGACTCTAGAAATTAAATCCGTTTCAGTTCAAGTCTCTAATATGTGCCTCCCTTTTAAGAGTCTGAATAGTTAACAATCCATGAGATTACCACAGTTCTAGCCTCACACTTACAAAGGTGCAAAAGTAAGTGGGCTACAGATCCAAAATCAGCAGTGCCAGGCAAAACAATGTTTCTAGTACTCCTCTTTTTAGGATTGCCAAACACCGGAGCAGAAGCTCAAGGAATCAGAATGAAGAAGAAAATCTTGTTTTTATCTTCAGCTTTTCAAGGTGTCAATCGATGTATGTTAATTTTCTGGAATAATAACCTAAAACTTAAAATCGGTTTGAGAAGAATTTCCCAGAAAGATGTTAACATTGGCCTATGTATTTAGTGGCTGTTTGGTAAAGGCCACACTGCATCCTGGCTCCTCTAGCAGAAGGGGCATCTGAGACACTCTTTCAGCAAAACGTAGATGTGTCTCCCTAGTCTCTGTGTTTATTTCAGGTTGACAGTCTCCTTAGTAGACTCCTGAACTGTGGCTTCTGCTGATGCTTCTGAAGCTTCTGTCCCTGAGACCTATTGAGGAGAAACACTCTTTCCATGTGCTTCACGGTGCTATCTTTCGTTTGCTTTGGGATATGGCAGGCCAAGTGTATAGCATTTCTTCTGGCTGTATTGTTTTCTGCAATCATAGGATCAACTTCTAGTGTTTTCTTTCTCTCTGCTCTTCTTTTGCTCTGTTCAGGAAGACTCAGCTGAATTTGGGGACCGGCCTGCTAAGCACCTTTCCTATTCTTTTTTCAAAATTCCCAGCCATTGTGCCAAAATGTTGAGATTTTTTAGGGGCTCTGGCTAAGTTTGCAACCAATGGAGAAATAAGACAACAGAGAGCAGAGACAGCACCCAAATCATCTTTATTACTGACAAAGACTAAGCTGGAGACATAACTGTATGCATTCACTAAGGCCGCCATAACAAAGTACCACCATCTAGGTGGCATAAAACAACAGAAATTTGTCTCATATTTCTGAAGACCAGAAGTCCAAAATCAAGCTGTTATCAGAGCCATGCTTCCTCTGAGACATGTATGGGAGATCATTCCTTGCCCCTTCGAGCTTCTGGTGTTTGCTGGCAATCTTTGGCATTCCTTGGGTTGTAGATGCATCACTCCAATCTCTGCCCCTGGTGTCACATGGCTGTTTTCTCTCCGTGTGTCTCTTCTTCTTCTTATGAAGACACCAAGAACAATGGCTTAGAGACCATCCACTCAAAGACCCTTTCAAATAAGGTCACATTCATAGGTACTGGGGTTAGGACATCAAAATGAATTTTTGGGATACACAATTCAACCCTTAATAATAACTCAGGGTGAGAGACTAATGGACTTGCTACTGAACCTCAAAATTAGGCAAATTTACCTGCCCACTCATAGCGTTCTACTTTGGGGAAGTCTCCCTATGACAAATAAAACTTATGGCACAGACAGCAGAGAGGAGCTCTTACTCCCTGGGGTAAGTCAACTCCCAGCCAGGAAAAACATGGAGCATAGCTGAGCATGCCTGTTCTTTCAAAATAGACTAGTTTAAGCCACTTTTGTACTCCTTGGAGATGTGAGTAAAAAGTGGAAGAAGACGAGAAGAGTCATACATCTACATGGGAGGAAACATCGGGGGTAAAGAGGAAGCCTTCCCTCAACCCAAATGTCAAAAGAAATTTTGAAAGAAAAGCCACAAAATGTAAAATAGTAATTCTACAACAATAACTTGACTTTAAAACTCCTAATTATATTAACAAGATTAGGAAATCACGAATGAATTTCTGATCTTGTATAGGTAAGACTCAAAACTTAACATTTTATTCTTGACTTTGATAATAAGAGTGTAAAATATATGTATTATACCTATATATGGTATAATATATGTTATTTTTTAAACTGAAATATTATCACTATAAGAATTAAAACATTGGGTGTATGCCTTTTAACAGGATCCTAGAGAAGGTAAAAATAAACAAAACACAGTTCTTATTTTATATGAATAAAAACAAAGATGTAACAAGGAATAAAGAATAAAAACAAAAAGTCCAAGATGTAACAAGGATGCATAAAAAGCATACATTACAAACAAGATGATTAAACACATTTGTCATATTATTAAATTTAAAAGCTTTTAAAACATCATTAGGTATCCAAGATTCTCAGTTAATTAAAGATCAAAATAATGATGGCCAAAGGTTTATCAACCAATATAACAAAAAAGAAAACGGGGTAACAATATTTTGTAAGACAAAATCATTAATGGAAAGAGGAAATATATAGATTAATAAAAGGTAGAATCAACAAAAATGTATTCATTTCAATTTTCACTGGATAACAGTGGGGAAAAACATACATAGAGAAACTTTACAAATAAGAGAGAAACTAACAAAAATAATAACTTAATCTTTCCATTTCCCCAGAACTTTCTTATTAACTCTTACTCTAAAATAAAAGCATGCAGAATCTGAACAATACAATTAATGAAGTTGAACTTATCATTATATATGAAATAAAATAAACTACACATCCTTTTCATGTGTTCGTGAAATACTTCCAAAAGTTGATCATATGTTCATTTACATGCATGCACACACAGTCCTAAAAAACGAACCACACTTTCTGAATGCAAGGAATCTGTTGCATTGCTGAAAGTATGCTTTAAATATTGAAATATAATATATTGGAATTCTAAAATTAAAAGGATTGAGAACATTTGAAGTCTAGTTACTATTAACTAGAAATGAATAATAAAATGGAAAAAAACCCCTAAACTTTTCCCAAATATTTAAAAAGAAATACTTTTCGCAACACTACTTGCTCAAATTATTACAGTCTGGGTTAAAAATTATGAATATGAACCTGTTTGGAAAAAAACTGAATGGCATCAAACTCATATCAGAAGCAAATCCATAGTTCTACAAGAATAGAAGGAAACCAAATATGGAACTCAAGGTGGGAGAAAAAGAACAATGAACTAAAACTAAACAAACAAAATCAAAATACTCCGGAGAAGATTATTATTCTAAGGCTGAAAATAATGGAGCCGTGACAGTAATTCCAGGCAATCACGTCTAGTTACTAAAAGCGATTATGGATCTAAAATGGGGACAGTGGGACTGGCAAGTGATTTTATTTACTGTTCCTCTTTATTACCATTTTATAAGCTTCTGATGTGTGAACTCTGAGGGTATATTCATTTAGTCAGAAAATGGCTTCTGGAGCAATTGAAAGAATGACTCATTTGGGTAAGGGCAAATATGGAAACATGTAAATTAGTAAATGTAAGAAGGCCAGAGCAAATTCTGCATAGGAGAATAGTGTAGGTCTCACTGATGTTGAAAAGAAAAAGCACTTGCAAATGAAAAGCCTTGCATGTTAAAAAAATAAAAAATAAAAAGGTAGTACATTTCCAAGGTAGATGGAGTGGTTTCTGGGATAGATACCAACATTTCTGGTGGTTCATCTAGCCATCATCTACAGCAGGATACCTGATCCAGGAATCTGTTGCATTGCTGAAGGTATACTTTATTTTTTAAAATTACTTACTTATTTTTATTTTTTGAGATGGAGCTTCACTCCGTTGCCCAGGCTGGAGTGTAATGGTGCAATCTTGGCTCACTGCAACCTCCATCTCCCGAGTTCAAGCGATTCTCCTGCCTCAGCCTCCCAAGTAGCTGGGATTACAGGCATGTGCTACCATGCCTGGCTAATTTTTTGTATTTAGTAGAGATAGGTTTCACCATGTTGGTCAGGCTGGTGTCAGACTCCTGACCTCAGATGATCCACCTGCCTCGGCCTCCCAAAGTGCTGGTATTACAGGCGTGAGACACCATGCCGGCCTGAAGGTATACTTTAAATATTGAAATATAATACATTGGAATTCTAAAATTAAAAAGACTGGGAACAGTTTGAAGGCAAGAGGAATTATCATTGTTTTATGTTTAGATTCCTAGTGATTAGCACTCTAAATGTGTGCTACAAGTAATTATTGAGTGAAGGCCTCTTCAGCATGTGTTTACTTATTTCTCAAGCAAAGGAATCAATGAAAATATAGAGAAAAGCCAGTTACATTACAGAACTTCCTTGATGAGGAAGGGGCCCTAGTGATCTTTCTGAGGTAATGAAAATAGTCTATTTCTTAGTTACTGGGTATGTTCCTAGCTAAAAATTACTCTAGCTGCATACTAAAAATTTGTACATTTTACTGTTGTAAATTATACATCAAAAACCAAGACCAAAACCACACAAGAAAAGCTGAGTGTTCCAGAAGCAGCTTATTCTTTGGAATATTTGATCAACTTTTGCTTTTTGTTTCTTTTCTCCTATTAAGCAAAGCAATTTAAATTTGATTCAGTTTGGGTGTAGAATATAGTACCTGCAGTGAAATTTCTTAGTATAGTTGTCTATTTCCAAATTGTATATAATTGTTACCACTGGCAATTTTGATAGAAAGTGAAGGGTAAATATTCAAAGCTTTACTTACTTTGTCAACTTTCAAATTATTCCCTGCACAAGAACCAAACTATATGATGAAAAAAAGATTAAAAATTAATCTAATCAAATTTCTAATTTTAGTTATACTTCTTTAATTCCCACAATACCAGCTGTATTCTTGGGTCATATTTGTGAGCAGGGTCTAAAGAGCACAATTAAGGCTGTTCAATGACTTGAACAGGGTGATAATTTTCTTCTTTGGAGATAGCTACTTTAGTCTCTCTCTCAAGTGTTTGTACACCTCAACTTAAATTCATTTTCTGAAAAAGATGAAAACAGAGCCACTGTTTATTTGCAGACAGCTCAGATTTTTCACCCATTTCTAGTATTTTAGGTCCAATTATCATTTCGTGGCATTAATGTTATCTCAGAAGCATTTTTCCCATGGTTAAGTTGGGTTTCAAAGATCATACATTTATCTTGTCTTGGAAATTGACAAATGTGTTTAGTTATGGATGAATTTAACTGTTTATGCCCTTGACTTAGCCCTTTCATATGGTGTTTTCATTGGAACACAGGACCCAAATGAGTTGTGCACCAGCACAGGGTATCTGTTGAGGTCATTTTTTAACCACAGACCTGATGCTGCTGAGAGGAAATTTTCTAATTTTTGAGTGGCTATGTTGGGGAAAGCAGGAGGACAGGCATGGTGCAAAATAATTTCTTAAAAATCAAATAACAAAGACAATCTTTGACTATTTAATAAAATCTTTTCATTTTAGACATCATTTATTCAGTAAGTATAAAACGAATACTTTTATTACCTCAAACTGTGAACAAAAAATTTTGCCAGGACAGTTAAACACATGTGAATATAATTGTGGCATTAACATGCTACTTTGTGAAGGTAAAAGCATTTTTTTTCCCAAGAGATTTAATGTGCTTCATGCCCTAGGTGTTTGCTCCTTAACATTTCACTAACTCATTTATTCTACCTTGCTCAAACTCAAAACTCATCTGTACTTCTTGCCATCTGAGTCTGTTTGAACAACCTTATGGGACAGTTTTCTAATTCTCCAAAGAGCTGAACATTAACCAATTAATTCATCATTTTCTTTAAAGATCAAATAATGGGCCCAGACTGTCTTTCAAAGAAGGAAGTATTGAAACTGTTTCCATCAAGGATATTAAGAGAAGATCTATCTACCTTGGGAAAGCTGTTAGAATCAATGTTTAAGACCTGAGTACTATTTAGGGCTAAAATAACCAGCCAATGATGGCAGGGTTCATGCCTGAGGATCTTCTGGGTGTTTTGACTTCCATTATCTCTAATCCCTGAAATGGTGTGGTAAGGTTGGTATTAGTATCCCTGTTCTGCAAATGAGGTCACAGAGACTCAGAGAGGTTCATTGAACTGGTGAATTGTTTATCAATGATAAAAAACTAGGTCAGTCTCATTGGAGGGGTTATACTGTTTTCATTACACTTATACTGGATGCTGGAAGGATTCTGAGAAACGACAATGGTGTGAAAGGACTTAGTTTTCCATTTTTTTTATGCTCTTTTATGATGTGGTTAAAGCAAAAAGCAAGAATGGCTTGCGTCTAAAGATTTCCTCTCTTTAGCAGAGCAGAGCCTGCTCCCCTGTGTCTTCCCATAGCCTCTGATTCCATGAGGCTCCTGTATGTTGGATGGGAGATATCCTAGTTTCTAGCATCATCAGCTTTTTGAGCTGCAACAAGGGTCAGGAATTACCCAACATATCACCCAGTGTCTGCATGTGAGCAGGTTTCTAAGGATACAAAGGGCCCATGGTACCTTTCCAGAGGAATCCACGCAACACATCACTCTGCACCTTCTCTCATAAGCTCAGCCCACACCCTCTTTGTCGACTGTCTCAGTGGCCCTGCATGTGTCTTAGTTGGGATGGCTTAGTTTTCTCCCTCACAGTTGGGAGTAATTGGGCTCAGTTGATATTAAATCATCATAACCCACATTTTAGGTGGACACGGAAGAGATGTTAGTGGGGCTTTCGGGCACCACAATTCCAAGGTTCTAATTATCTCTCTCCTGATGGCAGATCAGATAACATAATTTAATCAAACAAACCAAAACAAACAACAACAACAACAACAACAACAAAAATTCCCATAGACAATGGAAACAACTTATGATATCTTTGCAAAGAAAAAAGGATTCATCTTCAAACAGTATGGAAAGAACCCACGACCTCTTGAGTCAGTCAAGCCAGTCTATATTTGAATCCATCCTCTCCATTTGCTGTTTTATAATATCAGTGAATCGTTTAACAGTTCTGAGTCTTTGTTCTCTGTTAAGTGGGATAATAATTTTGACCTTAGAAGGTTGTTGTGAGAAAAAATGAGATCTATCCTTCAAGCAGCTAACACGATACCTGGCAGTAAGCCCTTGGTAATAGTGGTTCTTCCTTTCCTCCCTCTCTTGTTGAGCCCATTGATTTTTCTAGGAAAATATTATTTTAGAAGGTGAAAGAGTCTTTTCTTCCCATTCGTTTAGGGACATCAAATAGCCCTTGACTTTTAAGACTCTTGAAATTGTTTATTTTATATGAGTTTTTAAAAATAGCTTACTTAGCAATTCAGGAAACACAATTACAAAAAGTGAATCTAGGCTCTACCATGACTGCAGTGGAAAAAAAGAATAGAAGGAAAAAACAAAACAGAAAGAGCCAAGGAGAATGCTGTGTACATAAGTTATAAACAGGAACACTTCCGACGCACAAACTCCAGGCACCTCATTACTTTGTGAACTGTATATTCTTCCCAAGTATGGGGGAGTTTAAGTTAATGATGTGATCCATTCACCCCGTTATATTTTATTTATGTTTTCTTCTACAGTGAAATGAATAGTCAAAAACAATGACCTGCTTATTCTGTGAAGAAGAGGAAAAGGAAGAGGTGTGTTTCTGTGTGTGTGTGTGTGTGTGTGTGTGTGTAAATTTTCCCCACGCTTTAGGAATTAAGGTGATTTTTAACCAGTTCCACCACAGGTTTATTTTTAAAACCTCTTAATGATGTTTAGAAAACAAAGCCTAACACGAAGGACAGCAAATGGCAAAAACACTGTGAACTTCTCTGTAGAGGACCAACCCTGTTCCCCTCCTGCTCCGGTCAGATTACCTCTGGGGAATGTGCTGTTCCTTGGAACGAATCCCCCTCAGTGCAAAAGAAGAGAGGTTGAAAAGTTTAGGACGTGGAAAATATGTGGAATTTGCTCTTGAATAATGATTTGTAGTTTTCTTTTGCGATAAATATGACCAATGACCCAGATAGGAGGATGGCAATTATTTAATGAATCAAGCTTCAGAAACGTAAAAACACTTCATAATAAAAATGAGAGCAATAATAGCAGGAAGCCAGGTTAAGTAAACAAGTAGAATGCTTCATGTATCTGTAAATGTACATTTGTGAATTCCAAAGCTATGACTGTAAAAGGGATTATTCTAATGATACGGTGTTCTCAGTTTCCATTGCTCATTGAATTGATTCTTCTGAATTTGCAGATAATGTTCCATGCTGACTTTCTGCACCCATCGAGGAGTCAGTTAGCTGGGACAATGTATCACCTGTGTAGGACTGTGACTTAGCAGGTCCCTGGCTCTGACAATCATTTACCTTTATGCAAGGCGCTTTTGCCCTACAGTCTCATGTGTCTCAAAGTAAATCATTTCCAAATCTGTTACAGCCAGCATATAACCCTCTTTTTGTGTTCAGTTATAATTTAAAATCTGCCCTCTTGTGTGAAGTTTTCATTGACTAGAGACCGTTCCTCTAATTTGTGAAGTGGGATATGTTTTTAAATTTCAGAGAACAGGAAGATGAATTGTTTTTAATGGATTTTTTTTAATAGGCAAAGCTGTGTATGCACAAATGCTGGCCAGTGTAGGGCTATGATCTTCACGGAGCCACCAGTGCAAACATTTTTATCTTTTAAAAGAAGAGTAGATAGCTATTAACCCTGCGATATATGGTGACACCAGGTTGGTAACTTTGGGAAAGTTGCACCCTTTCTTTCTCATAAAACAAAGGATTGAATTAGATGATATTTAAGAGCCCTTCCAGCCCTAAGACATTGTGAGAGCAAAAAGTTTTCAAGGTCAAGAGAACATTTTAGAAAGCAGAGAGCTATTTAGATGTTAAAAGAAACAAAAAAGAAAAGAACCACCCCCTGACCCCGCCCCAGCTTCAACATTTTTACCTTCCTCTCTGGTCTCTGAGTAAATCGCAGTAGGTAGGAAATTAACCTGAGTAATTTGATGGCTGGATCTATAGTTATCCCTTTCCTCCATGTCAATGTTCCCCAAATATTAGCGTGCAGAAGGACCACCTGAGAAGCTTGTTAAAAAGGTAATTGCAAGGGTCACAATTCTAGAGTCTGATTAGGTAGCTTGAGAATGGGGCCCAGGAATCTGCCTTTTAAAGACATCCCAGGAGATTCTGATGAAGGAATGATGCATCGTAAATCAATAAAAGTTATAGGCCGGGCACAGTGGCTCATGCCTGTAATCCCAGCACTTTGGGAAGCCGAGGTGGGTGTATCATGAGGTCAGGAGTTCGAGACCAGCCTGACCAACATGGTGAAACCCTGTCTCTACTAAAAATACAAAAATTAGCTGGGCATGGTGGTGCATGCCTGTAATCCCAGCTACTCAGGAGGCTGAGGCAGGAGAATCGGTTGAACCCAGGAGGCAGAGGTTGCAGTGAGCCAAGATTGTGCCATTGCACTCCAGCCTGGGTGACAGAGACAGACTCAGTCTCAAAAAAAAAAAAAAAGTTATAATATTCTTAAGAGGGAGGAGAAGTCTTTCTGGGGGTTATCCAGCTAGTGGGGAGGGAGGGGAGTCTTTTAATAGCCTATCCCTGCTTAGGGAGGCTCCCCAACTGACAGTGCAGGTGGGAAATATATAATATTCCTCATGTGGGTTGTGGTTGATTCACTGCCAAATGCTACTGGTCAGTTTAAACTGAAAGCACCAAACAAACCAACCTATTGAAAAAAAAATACTATTTGAGAGGAAAACAGCTCTAGTATCCAACCAATTAGAAAGTAGGAGAATTCATTGGAGGAGCCTCAGGATGGGAAGGAATTCTTATTTAATTTCTCAAATATGTCAGGTGCTTATATAACACATTGTCTTCTTTAATCCTTACAACAATCCATGAACAAAGAATTAGTCTTATTTTGCAAACAAAGAACCTGAGCCTGGTGGACCCAGCAGTTCTCAGCCTGAATGCACAATAGAATCACCTGGGAAAGGCTGGTGGAACTTTGAAAAGTTATCTATGCCTGCCCCTGACCCCAGATATTGCAATATTACTGGTTGGGCATCGGCACCTTTAAAAGTGTCCCAGAAATGCTAATATGCAGCCAGGGGTGAGTGCCACTGGTATTAGCCAAAGCTCACAGGATTAAAATGATTCCCAGATCACAACGTACATCTTTTGACTTATTCTAGGAGAAACTCATGGTCTAGCCGAACCTCTGAGGAGAGATTGTCCCGTTTTATGAAGATCTGACTTTATTAAAAATGTGCTCAGGTCATAGAAATAAAATCTTAGAGGAAAATTTTGCATACTATAACATATTATTTGGTCATTCCTATAATCTGAGAGGTCTGTGATCCCTTATAGTGAGGAAATTGAGGTCTCGTGAGTTTGTATCTTTCTCACACTCTCAGGGACAAAAGGTGGAATTAAACACAGGATATCAGAGCCTTTGGAGGGTAGCAAACCCTTTGGACGATACCACTATTCTTACCTTAGAAGTTATCTCAGCTGATCTTAACGTTTAAGTCACTGCTTTTATTACCCCAGGTAGTAAAGGACTATCTAGTTTCAAAGAACTTCTGAAAAAATGAAATCTTTAATATACCTTTTGAGCCCATGGCAAAGTCATTTAACCTCCTGAAAGTCTTAGTTTCATGATTGTTAAACAGAAGCAATAATATCAAACATATTTATGGACGACATGGTGATAAATAAACATATTTCAAATGCTTTTGGAAAAAAATTCTGCTTTACAAAAGAAAAAAAGGCCTTTCACTTAGAACACATTAATATTATAGAAATACTTTAATATGATATTAAAATATATAATTAACTTACCAGTTTCTCAGTACTTTATTTAAAAATTCATACTTTTATTTTAAAATTTATACTTTATTTTAAAATTAGCACCAGCTTTCATTTTTGTAACATGATACAATTTTTTTTGGTAAGTATCTAGTGTCATTTTAATGCATTTAATCCTATTGTAATTGCATCTATTTAGGGAAAGGGTGAGTAAAGTTTTCAGGTAGGCAACAGGTGAGATGAGCCGTTCCAAGTAGAAGGAACGACATACTAAGAAGTGGAATTAGTACAGTGTGACGAGAATGTCAAGTGTGTTTGGGTGAGATGTAGGATGTGAAGCTGGAAAGATGAGCCCGGACAGATCATTAAGGACAACGTATGCCAAAGACTTTTTCTTCTAGATCTGCGATGTCCATTACAGTAGCCACCAGCAACTGGTAGCTATTGAGCACTGGAAATGTGGTTAGTCCAAATTAAAATGTGCTGGAAGGGGCAAATACTCATTGTTTTTCAAAGACTCGTGTAAAAAAGTAAAATATCTAATTAATAATTTTATATTGATTATGTGTTGAAAAATAATATTTTGACTATGTTAGACTAAATAAAATACATTATTAATAATAATTATATTTGTTCCTTAAACATTTTTTTAAATGTAGCTACTTTGAAATTTAAAGTTACACATGTGACTTGCATGGTATTTCTGTTGGCCAGGGCTGTTGTGAATCAGGTGTCAGCAAAGCACAATCTACAGGTCAGTATTCTGTTTTGTTAAGGCCAATGGGCAAAGAAAGGTTTTTCACATATGCTTGAAGAAGAAGGAAGAGAAGGAGAAGCAGCAGCAGCATCGGAGACTGCATATGGTGCTTTACTACTTACTGTTTGGCTCTTTATAATGAAAGTTTGCTGGCCTCTGCTCTAAGGTCTCGCTACTCTCACTGCAGTCCACAGAACAGCAGCATTGGCATCACCTAGGAACTTGCTGGAGATGCAGAACCTCAAGCTCTAACCTAGACCTACTGAATCAGAATCTGCATTTCAATGGGACCCCCAGGTGATTCGTACACATACTAAAATGTAAGAGGCACTAGTCTAGATGATAGAGAATCATTGAAAGACATTACAAGCAGGAGAGTGATGGGTTTAGTCTCCTATATGAAAACTCTTTCTTTACACTTAGAATAAGTCAAATTATCTAAGTAGCTTATAATATTTTTAGTGAAAGAATGGATAAATATTAGGTTGAAAAGATATTAATCTTGAAAAACCATCTTCTGAATTGACAGTATCTGAGGTGAATTCAACTCTATATTTAAAAAATCAAGGCATGTGTTTTGATCTGGTTCAATGACTTTTAAACTTTTTTTGACTCTGAAGCACAGAAAATATATTCATATATTTTACTTTGATATCCAGTACACATGCAGGCATATTCAACTGAAATAAAGGTTTTACAAAAGAGTATTTACCTTTACTAGAGACATGCTGCTGTATATCCCATCTTATCCTAGCCCCTTCCATTCTGTTACATTCAATGCTATTTCTAGCCATGATGGAGTGTCTGGTACTGACTTAGCCTTTCCACTATAAGTAATCATGGAATTCAATGAAATATATGAGGTAATTGTTTTTAGGTAGCTAGATCTTAGAGAAGAAAGCTTGTGAGATACACCCACATGGAACGCTTATACATTGCGGGTGCAAGTGTAAATTAGTTCAGCCATTGTGAAAAGCACTGTGACGATTCCTCAAAGAACTTAAAAGAGAACTACCATTTGACCCAATATTCCCATTATTGAGAATATACCCAAACAAATATAAATTGTTTTACTGTAAAGACAATTGCATATGTCTGTGTATGTTCATTGCAGCACTATTCACAATAGCAAAGACATAGACTCAACCTAAATGCCCATCAACAGTAGACTAGATAAAGAAAATGTGGTACATGTACACCATGGAATACTACATAGCCATAAAAAAGAACAAGATTATGTTCTTTGCAGCAACATGGATAGAGCTGGAGGCTGTGATCCTAAGCAAACTAACACAGGAACAGAAAACCAAATACCAGGAACAGAAAACCAAATACCACATGTTCTCACTTATAACTGGGAGCTAAATAAGAACACATGGATATGAGGAGGGGAACAAAAGACACTGGTGCCTACTTGACGGTGGAGGCTGGGAGGAGGGAGACGATCAGAAAAAAATACGTATCAAGTACTATGCTTATTACCTGGGTAATGAAATTATCTGTACACCAAACCCCCATGACACGCAGTTTACCTATATAAATAACCCGCACATGTTCCCCTGAACCTAAAATAAAAGTTAAAAAAAAATGAAGACAGAAATTAAATCTATAGTATTGCTAGTTCATAACAGATTTAAATATAATATTCCTTTAAGTATTATAATTGTTATTTTGTATATGGTTTGTCTGTTTAAAGTATCTAAAGTAGTCCAAAGAATCAGTCCTATTAAACTGTGATTGCAGCTTAAATTATTTAAGGGAATTTAATGAAATAAGTTTCATAAACAATGTTTAAAAGTTTAAGAAAATTTGACTTTCCAAGTTGTGTTTAGTAAAAATAATTAATAAATTCAGCATGAAATACAGTGCAAAAAACAAAAAGAGAGAGAGAGATACCCTAACATTTTGCTTGGGGATAATTTCTTCACCGTGGTACAGAGAACTGGAGTCTGAGCTGAGCATGGGGATTCCATTGAGCCAACGCAGTAGAGATCAGAGTTTGGGGTAGTTGAAATGGCTGGAAACTGTGAGTCACGGCATAAGAAATGAAACAACTTTCCAGCAAGAAGGCCCACAAGTCCATATTGAGGTCATTCATCAGTTTATGGCTGAGGACTGGGCTATTCGTGCGCAGGATGAGACCACCTGAAACTTACTAGAGAGTAGCTACTATAGGATTGAGAGCAGAATAGAGAAAGGCTAAGCATGCTGTGAGAAGGGTCTACAGAAAGATATGGTGGTTCCAGTCCCACTAGAGACAAGTGGTCACAACAACACTTTTGTAACATCCCTGGAACCCACAGAAGAAAACACCTAGAGTGAAATCAACTCTAGACTTGCCCTAACAAAGTCTAAAGCCAAACCCTCAAAAGCTTCAGAAAAGACAGCATGTAGGACACTGGTCTAGTTAGCTTTGACCACAAATTGCATCCAACTCCTGTCTGGTCAATTTGACAAGGGTAACCTTGATAGAAGAGTGTAGATGACTAAATCAGCTGACTAAATCAGCTCTCATACCTGAGGTTGAAAGAGAACGTCAAAGTACATGTTCTATGGTGCTGTGGTATTTTCATACATGGTATTATTTTGGTTTACCTCCAAATCATTCATTCATTTATTACTTTGTTCATTGAATAATTTTTGAAGAGGTTATCTGTAATATGTGTCTGAAATTGAGCTGGCACTAGGGATATAAAGATTTTAAAAAGAAAATTCTAACTCTCATGGTGCATACAGTTAATGGGAGAGATCATGTTTATTCTATCATAATATGAAGTTATTCCAACTGATAAGTACCTTAATAGTTTGTAATTCATTATATTTTGAAAAAATATTTCCAGTCATATTCTTTTCTTGGTGTTATAAATAGATAAATGTGATTTTTCCCCCTGATAGTTTTAAATTTCACAGAAACAATGAATTTTTTGTTTATAGTTTTATTGAGGTATGATTGATGTACAATATACTGTACATATTTAAAGTGTGCAATTTGATGAATTTTGACATCTGTATACAGCCATGAAACCATTACCACAATCAAGATGATGAACATATTCATTGCCCCAGAAGTTTTCTTGTGCCCTTTTATAAACCATCCCTCTTGCCCCTCTCCCATCTCTAGACAACCGTTTGTCTGTTTTCCATCACTATAGTTTAGTATGCATTTTCTAGAATTCTATATAAATGATATAAAGTACGTGCTCTTTTAGATCTGGCAGCTTATACTCAGCATAGTTATTTTGAGATTCATCCATGTAACAAAAATTCATTCTTTGGAATACTATGCAGCCATGAAAAGAATGAAATGACGTCCTTTGCAGCAACATGGATGCAGCTGGAGGTCGTTATCTTAAGATAATTAACGCAGGAACAGAAAACCAATTAGTGGATGTTCTCACTTGTAAATGGGAGATAGGCCAGGCATGGTGGCCCACTCCTGTAATCCCAGCAATTTGGGAAGCTGAGGCAGGTGGATTGCCTGAGATCAGGAGTTCCAGACCAGCCTGGTCAACATAGTGAAACCCGTCTCTACTAAAAATACAAAAAACTATATGGGCTTGGTGGCGGGCACCTGTAATCCCAGCTACTCAGGAGGCTGAGGCAGGAGAATTGCTTGAACCCAGGGGCCAGAGGTTGCAGTGAGCCAGATCGCGCCAGTGCACTCCAGCCTGGACAACAAGAGCAAAACTCCGTCTCAAAAAAAAAAAAAAAAAAAAGTGGGAGCTAAACATTGAGTACACGTGGACTTAAAGATGGGAACAATAGACACTGGAGGCCATTAGAAAAGGAAAGTAGGGAGCGGGGGCTGCGAGCTGAAAAACTACTTATTAGGCACTATAGTCACTACCTGGGTGATGGGATCATCTGAACCCAAAACCTCAGCAACACACAATATACCTACAAAACAAACCTGCATGTGTATCCTCTGAATCCAAAATAAAAGTTGAAAAAAATTTTGATGACTTATTCACTCACAGGAATAATAATTTATGAAATAGCAGAAAATCTGTTCTACTGTTCAAAATTTATTGATTTATCATTTCAGTAATATTCTACGACAATTATTCAAGTTAGTTTCCAAAATGTCTTTGTTTAATTTTTAGTTCTGTATTACTATATCTTTCTTACATTTGAGATTTCACTGAAATAGAAATCTAATACTTTATTAGAGTATAGCAGTGAAGATAGTTTATGCTATTGTCATTTTGTGATGCTGGAAATTTCTCATTAAGATTGTATAAATGGTGATTCAGTATGAGATGGATTCATCTTTTATTCCATACAAGGATGATAGTTTCCTCAAGTACAAAAATAACTCGAAATACGAAAGCTTCATTGACGTCTTGCTCAGGTGGCATGTACTTGCAGACCGCACGGTAGGAAAGCTCAAGTTTGTTATGATTAATTATTAAAGCTCTGCTGTATACAAACTTTATTGAAAGTTATGGTCCATGTAAAAATGATAGACACAGGCTCTGCTGTCTCTGATCTCTCACTATAGGGCGTACACAGAACAGATAAGCATTTAAGCTGGAAGAAGTATTGGGAAACAACTCTTTAACGATAGCATCACCCTTATTCATTTTATATTTTTTAGACAGACTCAGTTTAATCTTACAATCATGTGTCTTAATGTGCCTGAACTGTGTGAAAGTCTATAAGCCACCTATTGTAAGGAGGCAGAGCATAAAAGGAGAAAGAATATGGTCTGTTGAAAAACAATCTCAAATGAGGACCTCTTCTGTGGCCTCCTTCCACATTCTTCCACTTTCTGAATTTTTTCTCTCCACCATGATCATAATTTTGGTTGGAAGGATAGCTTAGAATAAAATGCTAAGAAGAAAGATGATTATCATTATCTTAAAAATTCAATGGGATTGGTTTCTGCCTACTTCTGCCTCCGTCTGCAGAGAGACTGCTTGCCACAAATGGTCATCGTGGCAATGGAAATACTAGGATGTCCTCAGGTCCCACTGCTTTGGTGCTAAGAGCTCAAAGGGAATGTAAATTATCTAGATGTTGAATCCCAGGTTTTTTTTTTTTTTTGCAGCTTTCATACTCATGAAAAGGCTGTGGATTTGTAGCATGTAAGAGAGACGATGATTTTACTTTGTTGGAATAATTCAAACATCTGCTCCTTACTTTGAATAGATTCTGATTTATGTGCCTGTACCAACTTGATATCTATAAAACCAACCAGCAGTGTCATATTTTGAAATTTTATTCTCTCTTTGCTTTAGGGAGCTCCAGAACCTGGGAAGTGACTAATGATATTGCACGAGATAGATTAACTTAATTCTTTCATCATCAATTTTTGTTTGTGACTACATGGTAACAACCATAAAAATAGAGACTAAGTGCTTGTTGCCTGGAGCGGTTCTACTTTCCTGCTGTACAGCAGCAAGATGTAGCTCTGTTCCATAATTTAAAGAATGTCTATGTCCTCCATGAGCATCACAATGATTCAGCATTTTAACTTTATGCAGCGGAAGCAAAAAAGAAGAAAACTAGAATGTTCGGATTCTGACTTAGTATGGTGTGAGTGGGGGGCTCGCCAAACAAGCAAATTAAAGCTTTAAATTTAATAGAGCACCTTTATAAAGAGCTATATGACATTTGAGGAATGAATTTTGGCATGGTCAGTACTGTTAAGTCTTGACAGTTGTAAGTCTTAAAAGAGAAATTCTTTACCCTTTCTTCTTGCCGAATAACCCTACACCCTTTCCCCTAGGAAAAGAATATTATTTATTTTTCCTCATGTTGGTGACTCCAATGACCTCCATGGAAGATTTGCAGAATTTCATTCCCATTTTAGATCTATTTCTCTTATTTTTTTTTAAATCTAGTGTTTCATAATGTCTAAAAGAAAGTGTTTGCAAGTCATTGTGGTTTTTTTTTTTCATCAAAGTATTCCTTGTTTCACTCTCTGTCGCATTTATTGCTCTTTCTCCTATTCTTTGCTTTCTCATTCTATGGAGCCCCATATGAACTTGCTTTAGTTAGGCTGTAATTTAAGTCTAATTTCATAAGCCGATTACTGTGGGACCAGATGACAGAGGAAACTCCCAAAAGGGCACACTTAATACAGGAAATGGGGTTAATGATTCAGTAGGCGAAACTCTTACTTCTGACTCACTGTACCACTAATAAAATGCTACGCTCACAATGGAGATTTAGTAAATGTTTGTTGACTGATTACTGTACACTGATAAATCCTGAGTATAAGGAAAATGTCATGTAGAAATCATTGATTTCAAGTCTAATGATTAGGAAATAGAAGCACGAATAAACCAAATGACATGTCTGATATAGTATGGGAAGAACTTTGTAGTAGAAACATTTCTATTAATGGCCCCATTTTATGTCTCTACATGTTTTCTTTTTACCCCCTTTTACAAATTCACATCATCTCACTATGCCTACTTATCTTTGCAAGCCTTCTTAGACGGTTTTCATACAAGGCAGTACAAAGAATAAATACTAAGCATGTACCAAAACTTTAGACTCAGAAATGGGCCTTTGCTATATGACCAAATTGAGTATGACATGAATTGGAGGCCAGGTTGTTGATTAGAAACAATGTGGTAACTTGTGACTAGTTGAATCTGTCAAAGACATAGAACCTGCTGGGCATGGTGTCTCTTGCCTGTAATTCCAGCACTTTGGGAGGCCGAGATGGGCGGATCGCCTGAGCCCAGGAGTTTGAGGCCTGCCCAGCCAGCAAAGTGAGGCCCTGTCTCTACAAAAAATACAAAAATTAGCCAGGTGTGGTGGCATGTGCCTGTAGTCCCAGCTACTCTGGAGGCTGAGATGAGAGGATTGCGTGAACCTGGGAGGTTGAGGCTTCAGTGAGCTGTGATTGCACCACTGCATTCCAGACAGGGTGACGCAACGAGACTTTGTCTGAAAAGCAACAACAACAACAAATACAACAAAATCCAGACGTAGAACCAAATTTGCTATCATGTAGTACTTTTTAATTATGCTGGCAGCCTTAGAGAAGTAGCTCATTCTTGAAACATACTCTCTAAATTACCTTGTATGATTTAGCAGTAAAAAATTTTTAGAAGATCAAGAATATCATATATATGAGGATGCACGCGCACACACACACCATTTTCTGTTCAGTTTCAGCAAGTTTATAAACCCCATGAATCTATTTGTCAACTCTCTATGGCACCATGTGCTAGAAAATAAGCATCTCTGGTTTAGAAAACTAGTGTGTTTTTATGTACCCTGGTTTGTTCATTTGTCTGTTTTCTGTTTTTTGTTTGTTTGTTTTGTTTTTGTTTTTTGACCAGCTCGTCAATCTTTAAATCTGTTTTGCAAAATCTTAGTTAAAAAAGTATTTCTTTTCAAAGACGAGAGTAACTTTTAAAAAATTTGTGTCATTCTACAGATTCCATTTTCCTGCTGCAAACTAGAGATCCTGTCTCATCTTGGATGTAATTCCTACAGTTAGACTTCTATCAAAGGGTCATTGTGCCAACTGGAATTCTTTCCAATTCGAGAAATAAGAATTTGAGGAATCTCTAAGGGTAGAAATGACTTCTATCGGGAGACAGCACACTAACGCAAGAGGGCCAATGGGGTTCTGCCACCTGTATTTGTAAATAAAATTTCACTGGTACACAGCCATGCCTGTTCACTATTGTCTATGGTTACTTTGTGTTACAAAGGCCAAGTTGAGTAATTGCAGCAGAGGTTATGTGGCAGCAAAGCCTAAGAGATTTGTTATCTGGCCTCTTACCGAAAAAGTTTACCTATCCTTGTTGTGTATCATTCTGATTCACAATTTATCACCCTCAGCACTATTGACATGCAGGGCTGGGTGATCTTTCCTGTGTATGTTGGGGGAGTGTCTTGTGCTTTATAGGATGTTTAGTGGCATCCTTGGCCTCCTCTATGCACTACATACCAGAAGACCCCCTACCCTCACCCCAGTGGTGACCATCAAAAAGGCCTCCAGATGTTCCCAAATGTCCTGGTTGAGAACCATGATTCCAGCTTGACAGATTCTGTCTTTTCAACTGGAGAGGAGAGGAGTCCATACCTACTTCATGCCTTAAGAATCTCTTCCATCAGAAAACTTTGCACTAGAACATTCTTCCAAGGAATACAATGTCTTCTGCTATTATATCAATTCCTGTCTGTCCTTTCAGTTTTTAAAAGAGGCAGAACACTACTGATCTCCATTGCTTGAATAGAAGTTTCTCTAGAATCTTTGTACTTACTAAGAAGTCATTCCTCCCCTCAATATTATTCAGTGCTACCGTCACTTCAAGCCCACATAAATGGAATAATTTGGATTTTCTACTACAGAAAAAGTAGCAGTTGTGTACATGCAAGCTATTATCACTGTTACAGTTCTTCCTCTGACTTAACCTGAGACCGGTATGTGGAGCTATCTTCATTAAGATATCCATTAAGAAATTTAGTGAATGAGAAAGATTTATGGCATGTATCCTAATCAGAGAAGCATCACTGTCTGAGAATGTGAATGATTCCCTTTCTAAACTCTACAATTACCTGGTTCTGTTTCACTATAAGAATTGCCTCAACAATATAATTATACTGCAAGTATTTTTCTTTTCACATTTTATCTTCATTTAGTTAATGACAAAGCTGTATATAGACACATACATATATATGTGTGTGTGTATATATATATGCATATATATATATATGAAGTCTTCCAACTTCTTTTAAAACAAAGGGGTGGCTTAAACTAACTGACTTTAAGGAAAGAGTTTTTCTCTTAAAAGCTGACATCTAAAAAATAGATCTATATTTCTTTTTAAATAGGTTAACAGAATTACAATTTTAGCAATCTAAATAATATTGTTGAACCTGATGGTATTTGTACTTTCTGAACTAAGCAGATATTATCTTTTAATATTTATCTTAAGCAGATATGGGTGAACTGATTTTTATGAAGAAGTCTTGTAGAAATTAAACAAGAAACATTTAGTTCCTCCAGAGTCATCAAGGTAGATGACGATTATATAGAGAAAATGAAGCTATTTCATCATTTCAGAATAACTGACATGATTCATCACTGCAAATATATTAAAATTAAAGAAAACATGGATTCTTGAGAAAATGTAATTTAGAGCTCAGGACTACATTTATTATTTAGAAGGGTGAGAAGTGAGTTTAAAATAAATTCATTAACTCCCAGACTACAACGATCTGCAGTTATCCTTCCTGAATTTTACCTGATGAGGTAAACATGACCTAATGTTCCAGAGGCTTGTTCCATACGTGTGACGACTGTGACATTGCCATGGATCCAAGCAAAATATTGTTTCTCTGGCACTGCTCATGTTATCATTACCATTATGCAACCTTAAGTTTCATGTAGTTTAAATTAGAGAACCAGCAGAGTTTAGTCAAGTTCCTGTTCAACAATCCAAAGATCATTTAACTTTCTATTTAAAATTTTTTTTCTGGGGAAGTATGTTCCTTTCTTATTTGGAAATAAGAAATAACTTTTAAAGTGTCAGGAAAACAAACATTCACATAATGTTTTCTCCAGCGCTAATTCCAAAGTGATCAAAATTCTTTATAACATGCAAGTTGGAAGCATGTACTGTTTTCTTTATTTTGTCTTCAGTGATTCAAGGTGGTCTTTTTTTGTTTCCTTCTGTTTAAAAATCAAATTTCCCATGCCGGAAACTATTATTGTTTTATACTTGGGTTAATAGTCACTCTGACCTTTTTACAAAAAGCAAAAAAAAAAAAAAAAAAAAAAAAAATCAATTCAAACCTACAAACCAGTGTTTTTATTTTGAAGAAAAACAAACTTTCTTTTTTTCCATGAAAGGGACCAAAAAAAAAAAAAAACCACAGCAAACAAGTGTTTTATGATTCACAATTGCATGCTCTTCATAGTCATGGCAGTTATTATCCAATTATGTATGGTTTCTCCTGTATCATCTTGTCTGTATATCTTACGGGTGTCATTTTGTTTATTTTTGCTTTGATTATTTTAGAATTAGTACAACATACAGGATGTCTGAGCGCATCAGTTATTTTCAGGCTCAATCTTGTAAATCTCCACACCCATTTTGTGTAAAAGCTTCCACAGATCATATGAAATCTTGTGTTGATGACATGTTGAATACAGTTGCCTGAAGAAAGTTCTGACATTTGTCTTTCCCTATTTTCTCTTAGTTGCTTTATTTATATTCACTCCTTCATGTAATAATAAAATTTTAGGGTCCTCCTAATGTGTCAGAGGTGGTATTTTCCCATTACTTCCTTCTTAGGTTGATTCTGTTGTATCAGCATATGTATCCCCATCTTACAGATTTGGAAACTGAGGCTCTAGGGAGGTGGTGTAGCTAGTAACTATGGATCTATGGTCTGATACTTTTCTGCAAAATATATTTGTATATTGACTTAGGAGGTTGTATTTGTACCTATAAGTGACAAAAATAAAATAGTTTAATAAATCAACTACAGTGTTCGCTAACTGAGTCACTGTGAGGGAAAAGCATAAAGGTGGAGTAATTGGCCGTGTCTCAGAGTAAGAGCATAAATTTCTCAATTCTTCTTCATTTCTTTTGAGATGGGGTCTCCCTCTGTTGTCCAGGCTGGAATGCAGTGGTGCAATTTTGGCCCATTGCAACCTCTGCCTCCTGGGCTAAGTGATCTTCCTGCCTCAGCCTTCCAAGTAGTTAGGACTACAGGCATGCACTACCATGCCCAGATAATTTTTGTATTTTGGTAGAGATGGGGTTTCACCATGGCACCCAGGCTGGTCTTGAACTTCTGGACTCAAGTGATCCACCAGCCTCAGCCTCCCAAAGTGCTTGTATTACAGGCATGAGCCACTGCACCCGGCCAAATTTCTCAGTTCTTAAGCTGTACATTTAAGACAATTGCCTGAAGAGTAAAATATTTACTCAATCAAATTATTACTTTTTTTTAATGTGCCATTGTTGTGGTTTTGACTGATCTTCTGAAGCGGTGATTTGGCCTTACACAGTCCACAGCCTCAGGCTAGAATATCTGTAGCCTGAGCTTCTCCAACTTGCTTCCCAGGTCCTTTCTCTATGCAACAAATGAAGAAATTATTTATGTACGTGGCATTTTACTTCATTTTGAATAAATTGCATTGCACTTCTTTATATATTTAATTTTTAAAATTGTTGTAAGATATACATAATATTAAATCCAGCAATGTAACTATTTTTAAGTGTGCAATTCAGCAACGTTAAGTACATTCACAATGTTGTGCACAACCATTACCGTGATCCAGTTCTGGAACTTTTTCATCATCTCAAATAGAAACTGTCCCCACTAAATGATAGCTTCCCATTCCCCTTTACCCCCAGCACCTGATAACCTCTCTTTTTTAAAAAAAAACTCTATTAATTTTACTGTTCTGGGTGCCTGCTATAAGTGTAATCATGCAACATTTGCCCTTTTGTGTCTCGTTATTTCATTTCATGTAATGTTTTCAAAGTTCATCCATATTATAGCATGTGCCAGAATTCCATTCCCTTTGAAGACTGTATGTAGATAATCACATTTTTCTTGTCCATTCATCTGTTGATGGACATTTGGCTTGTGTCTCCCTTTTGGCTGTAGTGAAAAATGCTGCTATGAACATTGATGTACAAGAATCTGTTTGAGTCCCTGCTTTCAGCTCTTCAGGGTATATATCTAGAAATGGAATAGCTGGATCATATGGTAATTCTAGGTTTAACTTTTGGAGGCATCACCAAACTTTTTCACTGTGGCTACACAATTTTATATTCTCATGAACATGGACAAGGGTTCTAATTTCTCCATGTCCTTGACAAAACTTATTTTCTCTTTTTATTTTAAAATAATAGCCATCCTAATGGGTGTGTCTTTAAATTCTTAATAAAACATTTCCACGAATTATAATTAAAGTATAATAATTTATTTCTAAACCCATTTATTTTAAATAATGCAATCTCTCAATTTATTTCTCTTTTGTTTCTGAGTCGGGGGTAAAGGCTTATCAATGATAGAATTTTCTGGATGGGTACATGGTTTGAAACATTGAGCCTATCTATTAGTACTTTTTTTTTTTTTTTTTTTTTTTCTGAGCCAGAGTCTCACTCTGTTACCCAGGTTGGAGTGTGGTGGCACAATCATGGCTCACTATAGCCTCGACTTCTCCAGGCTCAGGTTATCCTTCCACCTCAGCCTCCCGAGTATCTGGGACAACAGGCGGACCCCACCATGCCCAGCGATTTTTTGTATTTTTTTTTTTGTAGAGATGGGGTTTCACTATGTTGTCCAGTCTGGTCTGGAACTCCTGAGATCAAGCGATCTGCCAGCCTTGGCCTCCCAAAGTGCTTGGCTTACAGGCATTAGCCACCACATCTTGCCGATTAATACTTCTTATAGTCAAACACAACCATCAGCCTTCCTGAAATTAATTTATATAGTTTATGACAACCTAATCTTTGTCTGGGTCTAAACTATGTTTACTGTTAGAACACATTCTGGGAAACAAAAATAGCAATAGCATTTGGAGGGTAAAATTCTGGGGTGAATCAGAGGCACACAGACTGCTGATTTTTTTCAGGTGAGTCACATCTTCCCTTCTGCTTAAAATACAAACCAGATATGAAGATGCGAAAAACAATTAGCAACAGCCATTATAATTATGCGCAAATGGTAGGCAAAGAATGTCATCCATCCTCACCCTGCTGGCAGGGGCAGGCAATGAATCAGATGAATGCTGGAGATGCCAAGAGGAAGCAGCTACTGGGCCCCTCCCCCATCCTTTCCCACCCATGTAATTTGCTGAGAAAAAAGACAAAAAGGCTCTTGGTAAAATGTCCAAAGAACACCAAACCTGGCTGGGTGCTGTGGCTCACACCTGTAATCCCAGCAGTTTGGGAGGCCGAGGCAAGAGGATCGCTTGAGCCCAGGAGTTCCCAGTCTGGGCAGCATAGTGAAACCCCTTCTCTACTAAAAATACAGAAGTTAGCTGGGTCTGGTGGAGCAGTATTTGGGGGAAGGTGCTGGGATCAGGAGTGATTCCTAAAGACTGGCTAGAAGGGAGGGCATTCAAAGGAACTCTTTGTGGGCTCAAGGTTGGAGTTGATAGATTCAGCAAGAATTTTTCCCTCTTCAACTTCGTCAGCCCAATCCTCAGTAGGTAAAGTTGTCTTCTTGTCTGATGCACGTGCTGCCCTTGCTGCACCTCTATCACACCTGTGCCTTCTCTATCATGACACTTAATCTACCGTCCTGTAGATGGGAGTCCTGGCAGGACACAGATAACCTCTTGGAGCAGTACTCTCCATTCCTCTATGGCAGGGGTTCCCAATCCCAGTGCAGTGGATTGGACTGGTCTGTGACCTGTTAGGAACCAGGCCACACACCAGGAGGTGAGTGGCAGGCGAGCCAGCATTACTACCTGAGTTCCGCCTCCTGTCAGATCAGTGAGGCATTAGATTCTTATAGGGGTACACACCCTATTGTGAACTGTGAACAAAGGGATCTAGGTTGTGCTCTCCTTATGAGAGTCTAATTCACGCCTGATGATTTGAGGTGGAACAGTTTCATCCTGAAACCATCCCCCCACACACTGTCTGTGGAAAAACTGTCTTCTGGAAAACCAGTCCCTGGTTCCAAAAAGGTTGGGGAACGCTGCTCTAGAGGCTTCTACCACACTGCTTTTCAGCCACCACTGCTCAGTGGCAAAAGTGATTGTTTTTGGGGTGGGTGAAGGGTGAATACGGTAAATATATCTAAGAATAGATCAATCACGCACCTGAGATGTCAAAGACTGTGACCGCCTGTAGGCGTTTCAGCACAGATATTGAACTCAGAGTGCTTACTGATTTCCTTTGGTTGGTGTGGAATATTTTTTTTTTTTTGAGATGGAGTTTCACTCTTGTTGCCCAGGCTGGAGTGCAATGGCACAATCTCAGCTCACCACAACCTCCATCTCCTGGGTTCGAGTGATTCTCCTGCCTCAGCCTCCTGAGTAGCTGGGATTACAGGCATGTGCCACCACACCTGGCTAATTATGTATTTTTAATAGAGATGGGGTTTCTCCATGTTGGTCAGGCTTGTCTCGAACTCCCGACCTCAGGTGATCCGCCCCACTCGGCCTCCCAAAGTGCTGGGATTACAGGCGTGAGCTACTGCGCCCGGCCTGAATATTTTTAAAAATCCATGTTTAAAGTGATGGAAAATAGACAGATGGAAATTTAGGAAGTCGTGTGTAAGAATGCATTTTTTTTCAAATTGCAGTTTTGGGATTTATTTCAGTAATATAATCTATTGGTGGATGGAAAGTCTGATTCTTGAGAATCTTTTAAAACTTTCAAGGCATTTTGAAATGTCTTTGGAATTTGCATGACACTGTTTCCCAGGGCATACCTGTGTTGTGGCCTCCTGTCCCTCTATCCCACTTGCCTCCATGCTATGTTTACTGTAATCGATGAACTGAGCTACTTTAGATATTGTTTATATCAGAGATCCCAAGAAACCCACCTGCCCATGAAGCTCCCATGGCTTCATGGTAGACTTGCATCTGAAAGGAAGAAGGTTGCTTGCCACTTCAAGATACATGTGTATAAACTTCTAAAATACGTTCATTAAGCGAAAGGCTCTGTGTAAATCCATTTGTCTCTTTTCTTCAGCTTTCACTATTTAAAGCTTGTTAGAGTTTTTTAGAGAAGATTTACCCATGTATTTTTTTGAATAGATAATGTGTTTTTAACCTAATAAAAATTTAACCAAGCAACTTCACAATACTTTGTTTGGAAGGAAATAAATACAGTTTAAACAATGACCTATTTTCCAGTAAAAGTAATATAAACTGGGCTGTAATTTTAACTGTTTCCATTAGAATGGAATCATATTAATTTATAAATTACTTTTTGGCTTAACAGCATATTTGTCAAACCAAAAAAAAAAAAAAAGGAGAGAGAGAAGGAAACAAAAAACTGGCAGAAAGAACAAACATTAATCTCACTAATTATCTTTCTCCAACTCCATCTCTAGCTCTATGTCTATAAGTAGGATAATGACCATTATTGTAAAGTTGCTGCCTCATTACTCCGCCTGATCATTTTTAAGAGAAGGCAATGTTTTTCTTTGGTTTTCTTTTGGGCAGTTATGACATTGATGAAATAGTGAAGACTTGAGTATGCTCTTGAGAACAAAGTTACTACTGTGGGTAGGTGCCATGGTCTGTAGGAATTCCACTGAACATTGTTCGCGGGGAAAGACTGGATGATCTGGTCACTGGTTCTCTGGTTGGGTAAACATAGGCCATGCCATCTTCTCAAAGGGCATTTCAAAGGGGAGGTATTATCTCAAACCCCTCTGCTCTCTGATAAAATTTGGGATCCTTTAGGGTCAAGTTAATGATAATATTTTCCTCTTAATCTATTTTTAAAATTTCTATTTCATATTTAGTAGTCTCCCTGTTCCATTTCTCATGTTAACTACTTTACACTCACTGTATTTTTCAAGATCCATCTCTGAGATTGCCAATTTTTAATATTTTTTTAAAGAACTGGGTTTGGATTTATTGATCCTTTTTATTAATTTTTATTATTTTAAATTTATTATTTAATTTACTACCTACTATTTTCATTAATTTTAAGTTATTTTCTATTTTTGGTTTATTTTATTGCTATTTTTACAATTTCTTATATTGAATACTTGGCCCTTTAACTTTTACCTCTTCTTTTGTAATGTAAGCTCTTAAACTTACAGATTTTTTTCTAGTATTACTTTAGCTGTATTTCATGTGTTTTTCTGTCTAGTATTTTTTAACCATTCAGTTTTAAAGCTTTCTAATTTCTATCATATTTTCTTCTTTGACTCATGCCTTATTTTAAAAACTCTTTTAAAATTCCCAACTGTATGGGTTTTGTTTTGTTTTTTTTTTACTGATTCTTTGAAATGCAATGAGATTTGCTTTATAAAACTCAAGTTATGTGGTCAGTTTTTGAAAATATTCCTTATGTATTTGAAGATAATATATTGTCCAGTTGATGGACATGAATTTCTTTATGTTCATTAAATCAAACTTAATTCTGTTCAAATCTATATGTCTATGAATTATTTTGTCAATTTCTCCTCACATATTTTAAAAATGTGATTAAATGTTTACAAGTTTAAAATTATTTCGGGAGAATTAAACCTTCCTTCATTTCTATTTCTAGCAATGCTTTTTGCCATAAAGTCATCTTTCTCTGATACTATCATCAGTTTTCTTTTGGTTAATATTTGATGAAACATTATACATTCCTTTGCTTTCAAAATTTGTTGTCTTTCAAAATTTTGCTTTCAAAATTTGTTGCTTTCAAAATTTTAGATATCTCTCTTGTAAATAGCATAGAGCTGAGTTTTTAAAGAGCCAAGTCTGTTAATAATTGTTTTTTTAACTGATTTTAATCCACTTTAATTCTGATGACTATTATGCTCAAAGACATCTGTACCATCTTGTACCATGCTTTCTACTAAAAACTCTAATCAACTTTAAATATTAAAAGCTGAAGAAAAGAGATAAATGGATTTACAGAGAGCCTTTCACTTAATGAACGTACTTTAGAAGTGGAGAAAAATACTTAAGTATGAAAAAAAATACTCCTGCAGCTAGCTCAGTGTCTGTCCAAATAGCTGCCCAGTTTTGTGCTTGAAACCCAGGGCCCTGGTGACGTAGGCACCGGTGGGAATCTCCTGGACTGCAGGTTGTGAAGACCATGGGAAAAGCACAGTATCCGGGCTGGAGTGCACCATTCCTCACGGCACAGTCCCTCACAGCTTCCCTTGGATAGGGGTGGGAATTCCTCGACCCCTTGGGCTTCATGGGTGAGGCAATGCCCCACCCTGCTTTGACTTGCACTTCCATGGGCTGCACCCACTGTCCAACCAGTCCCAATGAGATGAACCAGGTACCTCAGTTGGAAATGCAGAAATCACCCGCCTTCTGCATCGATCTCGCTGGGAGCTACAGACCGGAGGTATTCCTATTTGGCCATCTTATTAAAAATTGTTTTTAACGTTCTGCTCCCTTCTTGACATACTTTGGTTTGTTTGAAGGCTTTTTTTAAAAAAATTATTCTCTTACTATTTCCAAATCTATTCCTGTTATTTTAGTGGTTAACTATACATTTCAACAAAATTTAGAGTTAATCGATACTTATACCATCCTCAAAAGAATGCAATGATCTTGGGAGGATGAACTCTAATCATCCCTTTTCTGGGATCAATATTTTCCCCCTTTCCTAAGTTAGACACTGTTATTCTACTTTATGTAGTGAATAATTGTTCAAATTTATTCACATATTTGGCAATATTTGTTTACCATTTCTTCTTTTATCTCACACCTTCCTTTTGTGATCATCGTTTCTGTTCCTAAAAAACATCCTTATAATTTCTACTATAGTAGTTTTATCATAGATATATTTTCTTATTTTTCCTGTGTCTAAAAAGTCTTGCATGTTTCACTGGGAATTCTAGGTTAACAGTCATTCTCCTATTTTCTTGCTTCTATTATTGCATTGATAAGTCAGCAGTTAATATAATTGCTGTTCTTTTGTAGGCAATACATGTTTTGCTCTTTTTACAACTTTTACTTTTGCTTTTTTGTTCATTTTAAGATGTGTCCATTGTCCGTGGTATTTTATAGTTTCATTCTGGTGAGTCAAAGTGTGGATTCTTTTTTATTTATCATGAAAGGGATTAGTAGACTTGTGAACCTGAGGATTGGTGTCTTTGATTGACTCTAAATTGCAGCCACTCTAAATATTGCTATACCTTCATTTTATTCCATTATGTGTGTATAAGGCTGTCTCTCTGTTCTTAAAGGCACCACATCTACTTAAGTATTTTTCTCCATTCTGTCTAAAAAGGAAAGGCCATCATATCATTTTACTATGTAAAAATATTTGAATATTTGTCAACTTATTATTGTTTATTCATTTACTTGATATTATTATTGAGTACAACTAAATACTAATGTGCTAGATCTACTGCATGCTGAACATACATTGAAGAAGAAAAATACAGTTCCTATCCTCATGGAGCTTAGCATCTAGAATACTAAAAATAGAATAACATTAAAAGAAAAGAATATCTATTGTCAGGGATTTTAAGGAATAGGATAGCTACCACTTATTTATATTTAGTAGGTGCCAGCCACCATTCTAACCACTTAAATACATTGTTATCTGGTATATTATTACATGGTAAAACTCCACATGCCTTAGTTAGACATACAAATGTTCAACATTCTAGACTTGGTCTTCTTTTCCAGAATAACTGTCTACCATTCTAATCCACACCTTCACTTGATCTCCTTGATCTACTCAATATTTCCAGAATCAATCACATCCTTCCATGATTCCATCTTTCATAACTCGGAAAATTCCCCTCATACATAAATAATCCAATTTTATTTCCTTTGCCAAGTGTTATAAAAATTTTCCAGGTTGTAAGTTTTTCCCATCTTTGCATCCCTATAACAGTTTATTCAAATGTATATAATAGAAATTTCTGCTTCCCGTCTAGAAGGGGTAATATCTATGTAGACTTTCTAATATTCATACCAGGTTTACCCTCCTGCATGACACAACCAACATATGGACAAAATACATGAAACAACACTTTTAAGGGAATTAGGCAACAAAGGATAATGATTCCTGAGAGACATGAAATAAATGAGGTAAGCCCTCTGACTGTCCTACCATACAGCCTTGAGAGTATTTCCAGGCTGTTGCACAGGGCGGGAGACCCAAGGTGAAGCCCAGGGGACTCCCTGGATGGAGAATACACAGCTAAGAGTCAAGAACACCAAGGTGGCTAGAGTTCTCAGGACCAGAGACAAGGGAGCTGCACGGAGGGAGAATTCCAGAGATCAGCAAAGCACCTCTCTTGAGTATCCAACCGAGGACTGATCAGGAAAGTACTGGAGGTTAGGGAAAGAATCACTCAAAAGGTTTAGAGGTAATAGTGCCTGGCACTCACACAGGGCTGAGAGTGTTTCCACCAGCCAGACTGGACAACCTCATGATTCACAGATTAGGTAGAGTACACAGAAAGGCTTCCCATCTGTAGTGGGAAATAATTAGCTCTAGAGTGAGCATTACCTAAAAAATCTTAAAAGACAATCCAAAAGGAGCAAACTGTGTCCCAGAACAAAGCTTGAGAATATTTATAGGAAAGCAAACATATTAAACAAGGTAAAATCCATAATGTCTACCAGCATCAATAGTAGAAAGATCTATGGAAAACACCTAAATATTTAGAAATCAAATAACACATTTGTAAATATGAGCTAATCATATTTACAGATACATCGAAAAGGGAAATTAGAAAATGTTTTGAGTTGAATGAAAACACCAACATGGCACATCAAAATTCACGGATGACACTAAAGCAGTATTTGGAAGGAAATTATAGCACTAAATTCCTACGTTAGAAAAGAATAAAGATCTCAACTTAATGACCCCTGCTTGCCCTTTAATTAGAAAAACAGGAGCAAATTATACCTAAAGTAAGTAAAAGAAAGGAAATAGTAAAGATCAGAATGAAAATGAATTATCTAGAAGACAGAAAAACAACAGAGAAAATCATTGGAACCAAAAGCTGGCTTTTTGAAGTAAAAAATTTGATAAATCTCTAGTCAGATTGATAGAAAAAAAGGAGAGAAGGCACGATTATCACTATCAGGAAAGAGAGAGGTAACATCAGTAGAGATTTAAAAGACATTATTATGATAATCAGGGAATATAATAAACAACTTTATGCCAATAAAGTTGACAATTTAGATGAAACATACAAACTTTTTGAAAGACACCAATTACCAAAGCTCATTTAAGAAGAAATAGTTAACCTGAATAACTATATCACTAAAAAAAAGAATTTGTAATTAAACATCTTCCTACAAAGAAAATGCCACGCCAGGTGGTTCCACTAGTGTGTTTTTATCAAATATTAAGAAAGAATTAATAACAATTTTACACACACTCTTTCAGAAAATTGAAAAGGGGTGAATATATAATCTTATGAGGTCAGTTTATCTTGATATCAAAATCAGACAAAGACATTATAAGAAAAAAAACCCTACAAACCATTTCCTTCATGAACATAGATGCAAAAATTCTGAACAAAATTTCAGCAACACAATGTAACAATGTATAAAAAAACATAGTATGTCATGACCAAGTGAGGTTTACCCTAGGAATGCAGAGTTGGCTTAACATTCCAAAAATCAATCAATGTAATTCACCATATTAACAAACTGAAAAAGAAAAGGTATATAATTGTCATAAGAAAAAGTGTTTGATAAAATCCAACACCCACTCATGACAAACTCTCTACAAACTAAAAATACAAGGGAACAACCTCAAGCTAATACAGGGCAACAAAAAAACCCTACAGGTAACATCACAATTAATGTGAAAGACTGAATGATTTCCTCCTAAGATAGGGAACAACATACAAGGATGTCTGTTCTCATGGCTTCTATTCAACATTGTAGTGGAGCTTCTAGGCAGTGCAGTAAGACGACAAGGAAAAAATAATAAATGGCATTTTCATTGGAAAGGCAAAAGTAAAACAGTTTTTATTTACAGATGACATGAGTGTCTATGAAGAAAATCCAATGGATCCTATGAATAAGTTACTAGAACCAATGATTGAGTTTAGCAAGGTTGAATGAGATAAGATGGACATATAAATATCGATTTTATTTCTATATGATAGCAATGAACAATTAGAAATTGAAGTGAAAATTATATTAGTGCCAAGAGTATCCAAAAATATGAAATACTTAAGGACAAAAAAGTACATTTTATGTGACTCAATTTATATACATTTCTAGAAAATATAATCAAATTTGTAATAACAAAGAGTAAATCAGAGGTTACTTGGGGGCAAGAGATGGGAAGGGCAGGAGGGAGGAACTGCAAAGGAACACAAGAAAACTTTATAATTTTTTAATTTACTTTTTAATTGACAAATAAAAATTATATATATGGTATGGATAGTATTTATGGTGTACAACATGATATTTTGATATATGTATACAATGTGGAATGGCTAAATTAAGGTGATTAACATATGCATTACCTTACCTACTTATTTTTTCGCGGTGAGAACACTTAAAACCTATCTCTTAGCAATTTACAAATATGTAATATATTAATTATAGTCACCATGTTGTACGTTAGACTCCTTTGAACTTCTCCTCTTGTCTAACTGAAATTTTGTATTCTTTAACCAACATCTCCCCAATTTCTCTCTTCTCCCAGCCCTTTATAACCACTGTTCTACTCTCTGCTTCTATAAATTTGACTTTTTAAGTTTTTTTAGATTTGTTTTTCTGTGCCTGACTTATTTCACTTAGCATAATATCCTCTATGTTTGTCCATGTTGTTGCAAATGACAGGTTTTCCTCCACTGGGAAGTCAGAATAGTATTCTATTTTGTATATATACCACATTTTCCCTATTCATTCACCCATTATTAGATATTAAGGTTGATTCCATATATTGGCTATTGTGAATAATGCTACAATGAACATGGAACTAGGAAGCTTTTGAGGGTACTGAATATAACCATTATTTTCATTTTGGTGATAGTTTCACGGGTGTATACATATGTCAAAACTTAACAAATTGTGCAATATAAATGTGTAATGTTCACCTCATGTTACTTATACCTTAATTCAGCCATTTAAGAAATCTATATTATAAGATTTTTGATAATACTTTGTCTATGCATATCCCTCTTTAGGATGTGATCTCCTTTGATATGAGGATATAACTAATTAATATTTGACTTCAGTGCTTGAAAATAACAGCCATCCCATAAATATATGTTAAACAAATGAATGACAAAATACTGCCCTGCAGAAAATGTTGACTAGGATTGGCAGTCTAAATTTTTGTTTCTCAGTGTTCTTAAGAAAGATAATAGTACAAAAAAGAGAAAGGTGGTTTTGTATTTTCTTCTCAGGCAGCTGATTAATCCTTTACAATGTTTTGATAACTGCAAAGTATCTTTATGTACATTGTGTCATGTATCTAAGTCTGAGAACTGGATTGGCATTTTCATTCTCATGTTATAGAAAAGAAAGGTGAAGCGCAGTGAGAGCAAATGAATTTTCCCAGGTCCTATTGCTAATGATGAAATTTTCCTTTTAAGAAAACATTTGATATTTAAACAGCTGTAATGTTCTATTCCTCAGGGGGATGGAATGAGTTTTCTAAAATTACATCTTTTCTTTGAGGCTTAAATAGTATCAAAGATGGCAGAGGATAGAGACGGCTAATTGTTCCTCAATATCTTCTCTTTCATTCATCCTTTAGTAAGAGACTCTCCTAAGACTTAACTGCCTGTTCTTCCTTGTAGCTAATTATGGCCCTGTGGCTTAGTCTGAGCCAATATTGTGTGATGGAAATGAAATATGTGACTTTTAGGTTGTATCTTTAAGACAATCAGGAAGAAAAGAGTTCCTTATTATTTGTTGGAGGGTCAGCCCTTTTGTTCCACTTAGGCCTTCAACTGAAGGGGTGTGGGTTACTCACGTTAAGGAGGGCAAGCTCCTTTACTCAGTCTATTGATTTCAATGTTAATCTCATTCTGAAACTCCCTCACAGACACACCCAGAGTAATGTTTGACCAGCTGTCTGGGCACCCCATGGTCCAGTCAAATTGATATGTAAAAATAACCAGTAAGAGTTCACTCCTTGTCAACTTGGCACCCATACACATCTTCTAAAACCAGACACAATCTCTGAATAAAGACAATAACAAAGTCATAATTCTGCCTAACATGATACAACTATCCTGCATACAACTGAAAATGCACCAACCCCTTTCCCAGAAGAGGAGGTGAAGTCCTGAAGTGATGTTGACTCTTTTCTTTGATATCCCATAACTTAAACACCATGATATAAAATTAACAATACTTAAATACTATAAAAAGCCAATATATCTTTTTATATAAAGGAATAAGAAAGAAAACAAGAATGTTTGCTATACACACACACATATATATGGACAGATACATTTATAACAACATAAAGGGAAATATTCGTGACAATCACAGTCTTCATTTCTGTAACTGGTCACATAGACCACTATTTATAACTTCTTCTTCCATTGTGCCCAGTTTCTATTACCTTTGCTTTCAGCAAGCACCTCAGTGTTTCATGGTTCTTTGTCTGATGGGATGACCCAAATATTCATTCATGGAGGGTCTAGGTCATCAGTAGTGCCACCTGGATTGGGCTGTTGTAGTTTTCCATTGACCTAATAACAGGGCATGGTAATTCCAAAAGATATCCTAAGGGATTGCCTATATTCTAGACAGGTAAGAGACTGCCCTTACCTCCATTGTGGAGAAATAGTCCAATTTCCCTTTGGTAGTCAGGATAAATCACCCCTACCAGCACAGTAACTCTCTTCTTTGCCTGTTAGTTCAGAGGCATAAGGAAGCCAAAATGGTTGGAAGGCAGTCTTCTAGTCCAGTGGACTCATTGTTGTGTCTTCTGGTAGAAGCATTCCTTCCTTTGGGATCAAGACTTCTAGGCCAGCACAGCATACATTTGCAAGAACAGGAAGGAAAAGTTTTGCTAGTGGGTCATTAGAAGTAGTAGCGAATGGTGCCACTTCCAGTTCTACCCCTTGATTGCTGGGCTCTTGAATTCTGGCTATTGGAGAAAGAGAACCATAGGTGGGACACAAATTCAGAGCATATATAGCCCTTTGGAGAACCTTGTGCCAGCCCTGCAAGGTATTGCTACCTAGCTGGCACTGTCACTGAGTCTTCAAAAGGTCATTCCATTGTTCTATCAAACCAGCTCTGTTTCAGGATGGTTGGGAACATGATAAGACCAGTGAATCTTGTAAGTATGGACCCATTGCCACACTTTTTTTTTTTTTGCTATGAAATGATTTCCTTAACCAGAAGAAATGCTGTCTGAAACATCATGACTGTAGATAAGATATTCTATAATTTCATACAAGTTCATGGATGGTAGCTTTGGCAGAAGCATTGTGTACAGGGAAGGTAAATTGGTAGGCAGGGTAAGTGTCTTTTCCAGTAAGAACAAAAGGCTGTCCTTTTCATGATGGAAGCAGTTCCATGTAATCAACTTGTCACCATGTAGCTAGCTAATCCCCTGAGAAATGGTACTATACAGTATTTGGTCTGTGCTGCTGGCAGATTGAGTGCTCAGCAGTGGCTTTAGCTAGGTCAGCCTTGATGAGCAGAAGTCCATGTTGCTAAGTTCATGCATAACCTCCAACCCTGCCACTGTGGCCACTTTGTTCATGAACCCATTGGGTGATGACAAGGATGTCTGGGCAAAGAGACTGATTGGTATTCACAGAACAGGCCATCCTATCTACTTTATTAAATCTTCCTCTGCTGAGGTCACCCTTTGCTGAGTATTCACACGGAACGCATGTATCTTCACATTTTTTGACCATTCAGAGAGGTATATCCACATACCAATTCCTCAAATTTCCTTGTCATCAGTTTTTCAATCATATTCATTCCAAGTCTCAGACTATGCAGCCAAACCATTCGCCACAGCCCATAAATTGATATATGGTCTCACATCTGACCATTTCTTCTTCTAAGCAAAGTGAACAATTAAGTGCACTGCTTGAAGTTCTGCCCACTGGGAGGATTCTCCTTTACAACTGTCCTTCAGGGATGTCCCAGAAAGGGATATTAGTGCTGCAGCTGTCCACTTTCAGATGGTGCCTGCATATTGTACATAACCATCTGAAAACTAGATGAGTCTTCTTTTCCTCTGTCAACTGATTGTGGTGAATGCTCCATAAGGCCGTAGGTGCAGTCTGAGAAAGAGAAGGCAGTGTAGCAGGAGTGGGGACAGTGGACATTTTGGCCACCTCTTCATGTAACCTACTTGGCCTTCAGGACCTGCTCAGGCTCAATCGGGAATATATCATTTGTAGACTGTCTTAAAGGCCATCCACACAGGACTTTCCTCCCTCAAATCTTCTCTTTTTAAATCTGCATTCTTCAACGCAGATACTGTTGCACACATAAGAAGAAAATATGTACTATTTCCAACCGAATTTAATTTTCTTCTTTACTTTTTTTCTTAATTTTAGATTCAGGGGTACATGTGCACGTTTGTTACCTGGGCATACTGTGTGATGCTGAGGTTTGGACTTCTGATAACCCTGTCACCCAAGTAGTAAACATAGGGTAGTTTTCAGCCCTTCCTCCTTTCCTCCCTCCCTCCTTTTGGGGTCTCCAGTGTCTATTGTTTTTATCTTTGTGTTTGTGTGTACTCAGGGTTCAACTCCCACTTACAAGTGAGAACGTGCAGCATTTAATTTTCTGTTTCTGTGTTAACTTGGTTAGAATAATGGCCTCCAGCTATATTCATGTTGCTGCAAAGAACATGACTTTGCTCTTTTTTTATGACTGTGTAGTACTATATGGTATATATGTACCACATTTTCTTTATCCAATCCACCATTGATGGGCACTTGGGTTGATTTTGTGTCTTTGCTATTGTGAATAGTGCTATAATAAACACAAGACTGCAGGTGTCTTTTGGGTGGAATGATTTGCTTTCCTTTGGGTTTATATCCAGTAGTGGAATTGCTGGGTTGAGTGGTAATTCTATTTTTAATTCTTTGAGACTCTCCAAACTGCTCTTTATTTTGAATTCTTCCAAACCCAGTATATTCAAGAACAAAAAAGAAAAATACGATTGTGATACCGGTTAAAAGGCTGTAACAAAAAACAAAATAAGGATATTTTGCCAAATATATCACACAGCGTGATGTAGGGGCATACACATGAAATTCTGATTCTGTCTGGAATTCCTAGACCTTCTCTTACTGTACTGGTGAAAATGCAGCTATAGCAGCATCACATTGTGGTTCTTGAGCCAACCTAGGCTTTGCCTTGAAGATGAAATATTTGTCCTGAATAATCTTACCTTACAGTGTTAAGATTTACATGTGTGTTTACTTTTTATTAGGCATGTACTGATCTGACTTGTTTGAGTTTTATTGGCACTTAAAACCGTGAGAAGATAACTGATTCATGACAGCAGAATTTCAGGTGATTCATCGGATTCATTAATCAAAATGATTAGTTCAGCAATAATTTATATTGGATCAGTAAATAGCATATCTTCTTTTATTTAAAGGTACCTGAATTACCTGGTATCAAGCCACTGAAATCTTCATATTTATTGAAGTATACTTTACATAAAATAGAATGGATATATATCTCGGGAGTTTCAGTGCCATGGGTTTTGACAATTGTATAAATCCACATAAACACTCAAAACAACATTTACATCACCATAGAAAGCACCTTCCTGACCCTTTCTAGCCATCCTGCTCTTCCCCAGTGAGGCAACCACTTTCTGATTTTTATCACTTTAGCTTTCTTTTGCCCATGTTTGGACTTCATGTAAATGGAATCATCTGGACATTGATATTTAAATGCTTATTCTCTGTTTTATAGAATTTTTTTCATTTTTCACATTTAACCTCATCAAAATACTGTACAAAACAACCCCAAAGCACTTTGCTTTTGAGGTCACTGTTAGTATTGTTTAATGGCAGTATATAGATACAGTTTGAAATCAGAGGAGGCATGATTTTCATTGGTAAATCACATTAGGCTACATTTTGCTACCTTTGTTTTCTCTGAATTTTTATAACATATAGTTGGCCTGGGTCACTGATAAACTCATCAGCTTTAGAACTGTAAGGGCTTTCAGGAATCACCTACCAAATCGGCAAATAGCTATTGAGCTTGTCTCTCAACCAGCCATTGTGCTAGCTAGACCTTGCAGATAGAGTGGGTATTCTGAAAGGCAAAGTCTCTGCATTTATAGAATTTGTGTTGTAGCAGGAGAAAGAGAACACAAACAATCGTGGCAATAATGTTTGATGAGTGTTATGGTAGGGGCTGCAATGGCAGCTTTGCTAACCTCCCTTTGTCAGAGAGTCAAGGAAGGTACTCATGAAGAATTGAGGTTTAGGCTAGGACTGAGGGGATATGCAGGAGTAAGCCAGGCAAAGAGATACAGAAAGGGAAAAGAGAGAAGAGGAGAAGGGGCAGATTGATCCAGAGAAACCAGCATGGGCAATGGCAGGGAGTGGACAGCATGGCACCTATGAGATACCTATGGGGAGCTGACAGAAGCTCAGTAATGCCTGAAAGTGGTCAAGGAGAAAAATGGCAGTAGTACCAGGAAACTCTGAGCCAGGGTAAGGAGTTTGGATTCATTCTAAAATCAAAGGGGGCCACTGAAGGGTTTTAAGTGGGTTATTACATGATCCGATTTGCAAAAATCCTCTGTCTATGTCATGGAGAATGGGCTGGGAGGAAGCAAGACTGGAGACAAGGAGACGTGTTAGGGGCCATTGCTTAAACCAGGGTGGTAGGGTTTGGGAAAATGGAATTGAATTAAGGGATATTTCAGAGGCAATAATATCAGGTTTTGGTGAATGGTAAGGGTGGTGAAGAGGAAAAAGGACTCAAACATTTCTCCCAGATTTCTTGTTTAAACAACTGGCCTTTTAGTAGCACTATTTCCTGATATAGGAAGTATTTGAGGGGAAGGTCATATTAGCATATGTGCTGGTGGTGGTAGTGTGTGTGTAGTGGAGGGATGCATACATGGAAATGTTGAGTCCAAGTTTTGACATATAGATTCTTTTAGTTGCTTGCAGGACATTTAAATGGTGATGTCCAAAAGACATGTCTGTAGCTCAAGAGAGAAATAATTCAACTGGAGATATAAATTTGGTCATCAGCAGCTAATAGATAGTTATTGAAACATGGTAGTGGGTGAAATTGCCTACAAACAGGTGTGTAACTCTGAGAGATAATTAGTATGTTGTTTCCTGAAGTGGATTCCATGGTGGGCTTAGTTCTATGAGATACTTTGAATGAAATTACTTTGTGGCCAAGTCATTTAGAAAATGCATCACATAGGCCAGGCACGGTGGCTCACACCTGTAATCCTAGCACTTAGGGAGGCCAAGGTGGGTGGATCACTTGAGATCAGGAGTTCCAAACCAGTCTGGCCAACATGGTGAAGCCACATCTCTACTAAAAATTCAAAAAAAATTAGCCAGGTGTGGTGGTGGATGCCTGTAATCCCAGCTACTTGGGAGGCTGAGGCAGGAGAATTGCTTGATCCTGGGAGGCAGAGTTTGCAGTGAGCCGATATCGCGCCACTGCACTCCAGCCTGGGCGACAGAGCGAGACTCCATCTCAAAAAAAAGAAAAAGAAAAAGAAAATGCGTCACATAGTATGTTTCTCTTAAAAATGTACAAGGCACACTATTGGATGAGACTCCAGGAAGTCCAGAAATATCAAAACATGTTTCACTTTTCATAATGCTGTTTCCCAAACACTCCCAGTTGTCACACTGTGGGAAAAGGAAACCAAATCCTACCAGTCTTCTGCCATGCGGTTTCACCTTGTGAATGACCTATACCCAGCTAACTTCATTCTGGGCAATTGGAGTCCTGCTTCACTTTCCAACAATAGAAAGATGCAACACATTTTTGTGCATACAGTTTCAGTATAATCAAGCCTTTCTTTTGCTGGATGCTTATTTAAAGCAAATTTTAGGCACAATGCCCTATTCATTTTACACTTGTTTTATTTTCTTGACTCAGTTTAAAATTTGACGGTGTAATCGTTGAATGCTAAGATAACTATAATTTTGCTTTATTGTAGTATTATATAGTGGAGGACACTAAATCATTTAATGATGCTTTAGAATATAGTCAATATCTTTCTTTCTGTCCCTCTTACTCAGTATATTTATGGCATCGGAAAGGCTGTAGCAGCGGATGGTTGCTAAATCTTTCAAATGGAACAATGAACCCAGGCTTGAAGAAATGCAATGCCTAATCAATTAAACAGGATTATTTTATAGTTTAACATGAAAAAAGGCATCCAGGTATGGTATTTTTTTTAAAAAGGAATATTCTCATTTACCCCACTGATTCATCTAGTGCCTCTATGTTGTTGACCTTCAATATCATTAGGGTCTCTCAGCTGAATATTGGGCCCCTATTGCAAAAGGTCTTACTGGGCAATTCTACCCAGATATCTGGTGGCACCTCAAGCATGACTTATCCAAAATAGAGCTTGTTATCTTATCCCCCCGAAAGGGGATATGGGAAAGTTCCAGTCCTTTCTATCAAATCTGTTTATCTTGGTTTCCTATCTTGCTTCATGGCATTAATTGATGGATTCATCCAGCAAATATCTGTTGAGTGTCTTCTAAGAGGCAGGCATTGTTTTACATCCTGGATAGATCAATGAATGAAAGAGACAAGGAGCTTTTCTCCAAGGAGCTCATATTCAGATGATATTTTCTCAGTCCAGAAATGTGGTGTAGTATCATGTCACCCTGATGCTTCTCTCTCTCTCTCTTTTCAAATCCAGTTGGTCACCATTTCAGTGAGTCTGAATTTCTTTTACACCCCTCAACTCCACCCCACTCCTTTGATGATTAATTGTCCTGAGACAGATCATCATCTCCCCCACCTGAATTGTTGCAATACCCTTTATCTGGTTTCTCTGCCTTTATTCCTCTCCTTCTTTCAGCCCTTCTCCTGCCTCCACCCTCCTGCTAGAGTTATCTTTCTAAAACAGATCTGGTCAAGTACTTCTGCTTTAAAACCACCAATGACTAAAGTGTACAAGAGACACTTGATCTTTAAATAGATCCCAAATCTTCATCTGATTTTATGTACTTTTTAAATCTCTTCTCCCACTTCTTTCTGCACTCCTTATGGAACTTCTCCCAGACATACTATGGGTTTGTCCTCCTCTGTCCCTATGCTATACTCCCATTCACCGTATCCTGGCTTAGAATCCCTTTCATCAACCTTCACTGCCTTTCTTAAAAAGGTGAACTGAGGCACAACAAAATTTTAGAGTTTATTTGAGCAAACAGTGATTCATGAACCAAGCAGCTTCAAATCAGAAGTTGTTCAGGAGCTTCACTGAGAGAACACAAGCAGGAGGCTGTCATAGGCTGGACACAGAAGTAAAGAAAATATTTTGCCGATTTGGTTGATCCTGTTGGAAAGTCCCTAGTTATATAATTATAAGTATATTGGGTACTTCTGACCGGTTGAGCTTAAGTTCTGTTTTCCATTAATATAGGCATTTGCAAAAAAAAAAAAAAAAACTCAAGTTAAGTTTTGCTTATGTTTGCAAATCAAGCAAGGTTTAGGTCACTTATGAGGCCTAACTGGTTTTGTCTGC
The DNA here is from genome assembly GCF_000001405.40 of Homo sapiens. NCBI lineage: Eukaryota > Metazoa > Chordata > Mammalia > Primates > Hominidae > Homo > Homo sapiens. The sequence goes on from NC_000013.11 coordinate 73,359,571, forward strand.
TCAGAGAGCCTTCAGCTTGGTTTCTGTTTTAATTTACTTTGATACCTTCATTGTCATTAAATATACTCATTAAATTCAAACTTCTTGAAGTAGCAGGGATAACTTTTTCTGTTGTTACTATACCTCTATTACAGTACTAATGATATGTTATGAAAACTAAGTATATACATGGACATAAAGATGAAAACAATAAACATTGTTGACTGCTAGAGTGGCGAGGGAGGGAGAGGCAACAGGGTTGAAAAACTACCTACCGGGGACTATGCTTACTACCTGGGTGACAGGATCAGTCCATATCCCAAACCTAGGCATTATGCAAATACCCACGTAGCAAACCTGCACATGTACTACCTGAATCTAAAAGTTGAAATTAAAATAAATAAATTAATTAATTAAATAAAATGTGATCATTGTATTTTAAAAAAAAAGGAAACTAAGTTTATATGTACTTCTGTCCCACTACAGATAGTCAGCTTTTAAAGCTAGGTTTAGCAAACATTTTCTGTAGAGGGTTTCGCGTGCCAAATGGTCTCTGCCAGCCTAAACTCAGCCACTGCAGTGTGAAAGCATTCATAGATAAAATGTAAAGGAATACTCGCAAGGTTGGTTGTGTTTCCACAAAATTTTATTTATGGACACAGAAACTTGAATTTCATATAATTAATTTTCATGTGTTGCTTCTGTTGCTTTGTTGCTTTTTTTTTCTTCCCCTCAACAATTTAAAAATGTAAAAACTATTCCTAACTTGTAGACCATACCATACAGGCTCGGCCCATGTTCTATAGTTTGCTCATCCTGGTCTCAATGGTAGGGTTATTTCATATTTATTTTCATGTAACAACACACTAGGCACTGAAGGAATATTTGCTAAAATGAACCACATGGAGAAAAATGATTATCATTTGATGTTCTCTTCCATCCCAAACTGCAGTAGTGTGATACAGTAAAATTTTTTTCATTAACTGAAGATTAACTAGAAAACCATTTTTAAATTTCAACGTTTGTTAAAAAAAAAATCTTCCTGAAGTATGTTATTCCAATTTTCTGCCCTAGTAAGTACACTTTAGTGAACACATTTAATGATTGTCTTGCAGTGGCCCCAGGTCATGATTAAAGATAAGAATTCTCATTGTGTAGCCAGGTAAATGTAGATATAGAAGGTATAGCTAATTGAGCCCTGAATGCATATAGACTGGGGTTTACTTTAGAAATTGCCTTTTTGATGCAGAGATTAAATCTCTCACATATACTTGTTTTCCAGTGATATCCTTTTTTCTCTACAAAATGGGGCATAGGTGCCAAAATCAAAAGAAACAGCTATTTAATGAAAGAAAGGTTCTTATTCGTTGGTCCAGTTCCACTGCTCCCTATATAGGGAAGTGTGAACACTGCTGTTGAGTTCTTCAGTCTTTCTTCCTACTCCTTCACACAAGGAAATTAAAGATGCAATGTTGGTTAAGGAGAAAACATTGAAAATAAGCAAATTGGTTGTAACATTGACCTACAGGGGAAAAAATGATAGTTATCTATAGTTTGAATACCTGGCTTAAATGAATTGAAGTTTTCCTTTAAATTAGAGCACCAAAATGGACATTCTAGAAAACACTAGACTCATCAAGGAGTCCCTCCATGTGGCAAAAGCACAGTCTTCTGTTTTTTTCCACCCAAAATTCACCCGAATGCTTTCTTCTTTCCTAATCATAGTAGATTCTCTATCTTATTTTCCAGCATGGTGCCATGGAAAAAGCACTCATTTGGATCAGAAGAACTTGGGTGCCTATGTTTGTTCTACAAATTCTGAAACATACGTGCTCTCTCTATCGGATGCCTTAGCTGTCTAATTATAGAACAATAAGCATAGTACTGATTTATATTTCTCATCATGTTGTTGCCTATTAAGAAAGGACCAAAAGAAGTGGTCTTGTTCAGCCATAGCATTGTACTAGAAGAGGCATCATTTCTATTTTTACAAATACAACCTCAAAGAGGTAAAAAAGATTAACGTCTGTCAAGTCAACCTCATCCTTCTATTCCAGCGTCAGTAATTAAATGCCATTCTTGTGATAGTTATCATTAATGGGAGAGACTGATTTGGCCCATGAATTTTGAAAAATAAATGCAGTGAAAGAAAGTTCCAGGAAAGGGCTGTTCTGGGCTCAGCAGTAGCTCTTCTCCACTCAAGACACAGAATGTGAATATCAACAGCCAGATGGTCATCCAGGTAGTAGGCTCTGAAAGGCATCAGGGAGGACCCTCTGGCAAAATCTGTCTTTTATCCCAACTGTCACTGTGTATGGAATTTCATAAGCATTCAATCTTTTGAGTTAAGCAGTGTCAATTATTTTTCTTCTTTTCTCTATTCATTCAAGAATTATTTATTAAGCATTAATGATGTATCAATGAGTACGAGGTACTAGAATGAAAAAAAACTGTTTTAGCTATTAAGATGTCCACAGCCTACTGAAGGAGACAGAAAACAAGCAGTGACACAATAGCTAACATGTATCACATGCTGGACACTGAAAAACAGCTTACTGGTCTGCCCTAATTCTCATAACAAACCTATATATGAAAGGCCAATTTATTTATTTTTTCTTTTTTAAATAGAGACAGGGTCTTGTTATGTTGCCCAGGCTAATCTCAAACTGTTGGACTCAAGCGATTCTTCTGCCTCAGCCTCCCAAAGTGTTGGGAGTACAGGTGTGAGCTATTGCACCTAGCCTAGAAGCTAATTTAAAACTTCATTTTCCATACAGGAGATGAATCCCAAAGAAGTAGATAATATTTTAAGGAAACTGACCTACATTAGGCCATGGGAGAAAAGATGGAGAAGACAGGATAAAGAATCAATTAAGAGGGTTTCCTGCTATCTTTCCTAATTGCAGTTTCTTCTCTTGTCACCAACTTTCTGATGTTGGAATATCCCAGTACCCAGTCCTTATTCTTTACTTTTCTATTTTTACTGTGTCCTTTGGTGAACTCATTTAATCTGACAGTTATGAAGACATATATATATACACACACTGATGATTACTAATTTAATTTCTCTAGCTGGACCTCTCTTCCAAACCCCAAACATATATCCAATTGCCTACTTGAAACCCCCATACAGATATCTTATAGACACCTCAAACTTAACATGTTTCACTAAACACTGATCTTCCTCTAAACCTGTTCCACCTATCTAAGTTGAGAACACTATCATTCCAGTTGCTCACAATAAAAACTGGAGTCATTCTTGACTCCTCATATTGTCTGATTCCCCATATTTTAATCTGTCAAGAAATCTGACTGGAAGTTAATACCACCAGTTAGTAAGACATATTGATGACATGGATATCCTGATATGATGCACTGAGAAGGACACACATCATTTCTGTAATATTCTTGACAAAAAATGCAATCCAATCATGAGAAAACAGCAGACAAACTTAATCATGGGTCATTCTACAAAATAACTGACCATTACTCATCAAAAGTATCAAGAAAAAACCCAAGGAAATACTGAGGATCCATCTGTCACAGATTGGAGAAACCCAGGAAAACACAACTACTAAATTCAGTGTGGGATCTTGGAATTAATACTGGAACAAAAAAAGGACATTGGGGAAAAGCTAGAGAACATAACTTGAACTTGACATAATGGTATCATATCAGTGTTAATTTCCTGAATTTGAACTTTACAAAATGGCCACATAAGTTAACATTGGGAAAAGCTGAGTGAAGGATATAAGGGAATTTTCTATATCTTCAATATTTCTACAAATCTAAAATTATTTCAAAACAAAAAGGAAAAATAAATCTTGTTGGACCTTCCTTCAAAATTTATGTAGAATTTGGCCATTTCTTATAACCTCTGCTGAAACCACGTGGAATTATGATATTATCCTTTACTGGGATTATTGTCATAACCTCCTAATTGGTCTTCTTGCTTCTGTTCTTGCTCTCCTAAAGTCTGTTTTCAATACAGTAGCCAGAATAATTATAAGTCAAATGTAAAATTCTACCACCCTCCTCACCCCCACCAGTAGACTTAGAGTAAAGGCCAAAGTTATTCCATTGCACACAGGTCTGACACTGCCTGGTCCTTGCTTTCCCTTCTGGTCTCCCCTTGTACCACTCTCCCACTCATTCCCTAGCTCTCACCTCACTGTCCTCTTTGCTGAGTATATTAGAAATATTCCCACTGTAGAAACTGCATGCACTGGCTGTTCCTTATGCCAGGAACACTCTTCCCCCAGATACCACCTTGGCTGATGCCCTCATACTCGAATATCACATCTCAGTGAAGCTTACCTGTCCTCTCTGTTTAGAATTTCACTCCCTTACTGGGCGTGGTGGCTCACACCTGTAATCCCAACACTCTGGGAGGCTGAGGATAACTTGAAACCAGGAGTTCAAGACCAGCCTGGGCACATAGCAAGACTGTGTCTTAAAAAAAAAAGATTAGCCAGGCATGGTGATGCATGCCTGTAGTCCCAGCTACTCAAGAGACTGAGGTGGGAGGATCACTTGAACCCAAAAGTTTGAGGTTGCAGTGAGCTATGATCATGCCACTGCACTTTAGCCTGAGTGATAGAGCAAGACTCTATCTCTAAAAAATTAAAAAGAAAAAGAAAACAAATTTCACCCTCTACTGCTCACTGCTCATCTTCACCAGTACTCCCAATCCTCTTAGTTCTGCTCTACTTTAAAAAATTGTTTTCCATCACACTTTTCATTTTCTAAGAGACTGTTTATGTTAGTTACTTATCATCATCACCATCATCATCATTGTCATTATCACCAATATCACCCTCATTACTGGTCTTTTAAAACTTGAATGTAAACTCCAGGATGGCAGGGATCTTTCCCCACTTTCCTTGCTGACATATCCCAAGAGCCTAGAAAAGTTCCTGGCCTAGAGTAGGCACTCCATAAGTACTGGATGAATTGGATAAAAGGTAGACTACACAGGACTGAAAACTACCGTGTTAGGTAACGTATAGGGTGTAGTGCAACTCTATGGCTATTGACTGGGGTAATGGGAAGGAAGACTGCACCAATAGTCAATACAGAAGAACCGCTTTATAAGGAAAGATGTTTGCTGGATATTCCTGTGAAGATGTCCCATACAATAATTTGTAGCTCTGCAATTCAGGGTAAAGACCTGGGATGGAAAGAGAGATTTGGAAGTCTTCTCTTGTAATTGAGGCATGAGAAGAAAGACAGAAGGTGGGTGTCTTGTGATTTTGATATTCATATCCTCAATAGGAGCAAGCCTCTGTGGCATGAAGCTCGGGAAGGCTAGAGGTGGGTGGGAATGGAGCAGAGATCAGAACTGAAGTTGGCTGGGTGCCAGAGACACATTTTACCTGCTTCAGAATTTGCCATAAAGCAAATCCGTTTATGGTTGAGGGAGGGGGAGGGTTAGAGAAGGCAGACAAACAATTCCTTGTCATTTAAAATAAAGCAGAACAAAAGGATGGCAGGGCATAACTTCGAATGCCCTCCCCAAAACAAATCAGTCTCAATCTATGTGCAATTTTGCTATTATAACTGGGCTGGAGCTGGGGCAGGGTGGGGAACAGTAATGAGGTGCAAAGGAAGGATCATGGCTGAGGTCTTCATTTTCTAAACTCTGACAGTTGAGGGAACACTCAGTGGTGTTTCTCTTCACCTTTTAGACTATCACCTTGTCCCTTCTTTGGAGCATAAATTTGTCATTAAAGCTTTCACTTGGCACAGATCCGATTCATCAGGGAAGACAGAACTCTGTGTTTGCATGCTTCAAGGCAGAGCTTGAGTCTACTTTGGCAAGTGTTACAAGGAAAGGGAGAAAAGAAAATAAGAGCCATAAATCATCTGGAGGCCAGAATACAGGATTAAAGACACTCGATCCATTTCAGAAAGGACTTCTGCTAGCATGTGTTTACTCAGTGACCCGGTATTCTCCTTTCAGCCTTTAGTCTCTCCCACTCCATTTGAGCTAGAGAAGTGACATCTTACATTAGAGCCTGCCCTGCTGTGGGGAAAGATCTGGTTCCATGCAGACTGGTGGAAGGCTTACTCCAGGTGGGGGCTTGTTTTTAGGCAGCATCCACTTTGAGAATTTCCCGTTCATGTTTATGTGATAGTACATCTTCAGAAATAATAAACACTTGTAATGCAACCCTTGTTGGTCTGCGGTAAACAAAGGAGAATGGCGTGATTCCCATCTTGTAACTAATCTGCTCTTCACATGACTAATTTAGCTGTGCATTCACAGGCTTGGTGAGAATCCAATTGTAAGGGAACGTACACTTCATTAAATTGGGCAATTTCTAAAAACCTAAGCTTTCAGATTTGTGTTTTCTACAACTGAACTTTAATGAACTATTCTTCCTTTTTAGATAGCCTGAGAACGGTTTTACACTTCATCATGAGTCACCTGGGTAATTATTACCTGGTGATTTTGTAATAAAATGCTACCTATCAAATGTATCATGCCACTCTTTGCATTATGAAGAAAAAACAATTTCTATATGCCAAATTACACCTGAAAATCGAGGAGAAAAAAATGTTATAGTTTCTTTTTAAATGTAATAACGCTCGCTGTCAAGAAATACTATAAGGAAACCATTCAGATCGTATTCTCAGGTACGGAAAGGCGTTTTACCTTAATTCTGGTTATCAGTATCCATTTGGAAATGAGATAACTTGAAAAAGAAATCGACACTTTGGAGCCTCCTATAACCCTTTGTGTTAAAGCTGGAATTTAGTTGAAGGCAGTCCTCAAATGATGACTTGTCAGTTCATTGTTTTCAATTAGAAGGTATTTATCCAGAGAGAAGAAAGAAGGAAACTAGCATTTATTTAACTAGGGTTTCCTGTTATAATGTTTCCAGTGTAATGATGCATGCACGCAAGAACTTAGTATACTGTGAATAATTATTTGTTGAATGAATAAATAAGCAATTAGCCAATGGCAAAGTGTTCTCTTTGATTTCAGGGACAAGGGGAGCCTTTCAAGCACATTCACCTATTGTTCCTTGGAGACCAGTGACATTGATAGGGAAAATACTCATGGACCGACCCCTGGAGGCTCCTGTGCCTCAGCAGTAGGGCTGGAAAAGTGTCCTCAAGGCCGGCGAGGTGGCTCAGGCCTGTAATCTCAGCACTTTGGGAGGCCGAGGAGGGTGGATCACCTGAGGTCAGGAGTTTGAGACCAGCCTGGCCAACATGGTGAAACCTCGTCTCTACTAAAAATACAAAAATTAGTCAGGTGTGGTGGTGGGCACCTGTAATCCTAGCTACTTGGGAGGCTGAGGCACAAGAATCACTTGAACCCGGGAGGCGGAGGTTGCAGTGAGCCGAGATCACACCACTGCACTCTAGCCTGGGCGAAAGAGTAAGACTTTTTCTCAAAAAAAAAAAAGTGTCCCCCCATTTTCCTGCATGCTATTAGGGAACTAATCTCAGTTTCTCTGGGAATGGAAGGTTAAGGGTTGTAACTGGGTAATCTTTCTGAGATTCTCAACCTCCTGTCTTAGTCCATGGGTGACATCCAGGGAAACTCAACAATTCCACACTGGAAAGGAGTCTCCAGTTCCAACACTTTCCTCCCCAAAACACTCACTAATCACCTGGAAGTCTGATTTCAGAGTTAGAGAATTTGGCGTAGTTTTGAAATACTATGTGTAGCAATAATGATTTCATATCAGTTTTTCATAGCCTATGTGATCAGAATGACCTGAGTCAGAACCATTCACCAGCCGGGTAGCCTTCACATCACAGGAGTGGAGCGCTTAAGATTTTTCTCACCTTCTTTATTTGTAAAAGTCACAAAGACTAAAGTTAATCCTGTTGCAAAGCCGTGGTTCAATTCATCCATGATAGACCCTGATAGGTTTGCCTGGATTTCAGCTATGTCTAATTAAGCCACGGCAATTTGCAGTAAGAGAGAACAAGATGTGATTGATGGCGTTTACTGTGGATCTGTGGAGTAAGCAGTAAACTCTTCTTTCTAGGTGCATTTGGTTACTTCAGGTCAAAGAGATTTGCATGAGAAAGTTTTGCACCTGGCAATATAAATTGCATGCTTAATAACTGCATGTGTGGCAAAGGAAATTTTATTAAGGCCTCGGGGCAGATTGGACTTACAGACTGTACATGCTAACACCAGGAAGGGGCAAGCACAGGGGCTAGTTGCAAAGGATTACAATCTGAGTCTAGGTCTGATGTAGACTCCAATTCTGAGCAACACTTTTGATGGTTTGTACCAGGAGTCAGGGCTGGGAAATGCCTCTGAGCTAAACGAGCAGAAGCAGAAATTTGGTACTTGTCTTTATATATGTATATACATACATGTGTGTGTGCGTGTGTGTATATATATATATATGAAATTGTCAAGTTTTGTGGGAGAAGATTAAGTTTAAGAAGTCTAAGAACAGTTTGAATAAGTTACACTCTAGAACTCTGGGGAGATGAAAGGTGAGTGATTAAGGTGGTTTCGATCTACACCATAGTAAGTGTTCAGCACTCTCTTTGGCACAGATCAGTTTGCCAGAATTGTTACACCCTTCCCAGAAGCTTGGGGCTGAAAGATTAAGGACGGTACAGGTCAAAGGTTAGTTATGTTAATATATTTATTTGCGAAAATATACAAAAGCCCTGATTAACCTTGGCTTTTGAAGTCTGAGCTGTCAGTCCTTCACGTTCATGATCAGTTTTCATCTGAAAATGTTTTCAAACAGTCTAGTATCAAAACAGAATCTATGTACCTCAGGTAAAAACATGTTGAACTGCATGGTACCTGTAATACTATGTACACTGGCAGCTTCGTTTGGTAGATACCTATCATGTAAGCTACTCTTTTGCTCCTATAAATTTAGTTACTATTTTAGGAGAGAAGGTAATTTATTAAAACAGACAACAAAAAAAGACGGGGTGAAGGGAACATTCTTTATTATTTAAAAAAAAAATCCTTTTTAGAAATTAAGCTTTCAGCTCCTTAATCTGTTAGGGGAGTACTTACTCAAAAACAAAAGAAAACAAAATGAAAACAAAAACTCTAGGTTCTTTCAGTCTTAGAGGGGTTTAGCAACAAACCATTATTGTTTGCAGACTGATTTTTCTGTGAGAAGGCAAGCTGCCTTAATGACAGCTTATGCAATAACAATCCCTGATATAGTATTTACCTGGATGTAGCAACAACTGTGCTGTAAGCCAAGAAGAAGGAGGAAAAAAAGTCAGTATCTTGTGCGTGAGAAGCTTGTAGATACCCTGAGGTGACTTCATATAATTCTAAAATAGCAGGTAGCTTCTTGCATAGCTAATCAAGGTATCAGCGCCCGGAGCAAATGGAGGTGGCTGACAGCGTGCTTTGGTTTCAGATGCATTCAGCTCTTTTTGAGTGATATGAGCTTAATTCATGTTCTAGTTTCCATACGAAAAGTTTATGCATTCTGATTTGGCAAATATCCTGTCCTATAACCTGACAGCTCTGTGCTTTGATAAAGCTGTTGACCTCAATGTCTTACTTGTACTTATTCATTATATGTGGTGGGAAAGTTAGTATAGTTTAAAAAAGGGAACAGCCTTTTTTTTTATAAAGCATTTGAATTATATACCCCAACCCTCCACTTTTATTCATTGCTTAGCAAAGGAGGATACAGGTGACTCACCTGAAAAACTTGAAATATACTCTGTAGTAAAGTGGAAAGAGCTTAAAGAGAAGGAAGTCTTAAAATTAATTAAAAAAAAGACAGAGAGAAAGGAGTCATCCTGACTTTGTAAGGTGCGTGGGTCATTTCGGGAGAGAGCAGTTCCTGGGTCAGAGTGAAGGTCACAGAGTGACAGCCTCTGATAAGTTTAATTGCTAGTGTCTTGAGGTTTTCTAAAGAAAGCCTAACATTAGCAGGTAGCTTTGGTTTGTCATTGTGTCTATCCAATATCTGGGCTCTCCAACGTGGTGAAACCCCATCTCTACAAAAAATAAAATAAAATAAAATAAAAACAAGTTAGCCAGGCATGGTAGTGCACGCCTGTAGTCCCAGCTACTCAGGAGGCTGATGTGGGAGGATTGCCTGAGCCTGGAAGGTTGAGGCTGCAGTGAACCATGATCATGCCACTGTACTCCAGCCTGGGTGACAGAGTGAGACCCAATCTCAGAAAAAAAAAAAAAAATCTGGTTTCCATTTCTGAGTCCCTCTGGATTAGTGCATAGGGGAAACAGTTTTTCTTAGGGACCATTGGCCACTAGTAAGGCAATAACTAGCCCCGAGGTGGACCTGCCTTACAAAAAGGAGGGCTCTGAATCACATTTATTGCTTTGGCACACAGGAAGCTACAAGTGAAAATGCCATGTGCAAAGAGCCCATAATTTTACTCTAATAGATATTTAGCAGCTTAAATGAAATAACAAGGAATACATTCACCCAGGCGCCATCCAGGAGGATTTGGTGGGTATTTTACATTCCACTCTTTGAAAAGAAAAACATAATTTTTGATACTTTCCCAAGATATATGAATATTTCAGCATGCAAAGCAATAATACATAGCATACGTTTCAAGTTGAACCAAATTCTGTTTGGCCAAAAGGATTTATTGCTGTCACTATAATGCAAGCCAGTCAATCAAGTTGAATTTTTCTTCCAAATCAGTTGATTAGAGCTCAGTCAGGCAGCTACTTGCTTTCCTGTTTGTTCACATGCTGCTGATTTTCTTGTGCTTAGCTAAGAGGCATGGAATCAACAAATATGAATGCTATAACTTGCCACTCTGCGCGTGTTTCTCCTTAATCCCTGGACCCCAGCTCTCTCATGGATGGTTTGAATTCCTATAGTTTTTCTTTCTAGCCACTCAAAATTCAGTGGGTCTAAGTAGAGTTTATTATCCTTTTCCCTCATCCAATCTCATACTCCTTCAAGTTGCAGTCCTTAGAGCCTTCTTTGGATTTTTTTTTTTTTTTTTTTTTGAGACAGAGTCTCACTCTGTCACCCAGGCTGAAGTGCAGTGGCATGATCTTGGCTCACTGCAACCTTCACCTGCCGGGTTCAAGAAATTCTCCTGCCTCAGCCACCCCCGACCCCTGAGTAGCTGGGATTACAGGTGTGCACCACCATGACCAGCTAATTTTTGTATTTTTAGTAGAGATGGGATTTCACCATGTTGGTTAGGCTGGTCTCAAACTCCTGACCTCAGGTAATCCACCCCCGTTGGCCTCCCAAAGTGCTGGGATTACAGGAGTGACTTCTGATCATTCACTGGCACCTTCATTAAATGCCCTCCCTCCATGGCGCTTGCCGTCATGCAGTCCCTCTGTGTGTCTGCGCTGAACTGCTGCCATGTTGACAGGATTACTGTGCAGTGATTACCCTAGTAAAGCACCCGGACTCTCCAGTTAGAACAGAGCAGGATCAAATCCTGCCTTTGTACTTGGTGTAGGACTTTGGTTATCACCCATCTATGAAACAGGAATAAATTATAGGACTTTCCTCTTAAATAAAAGCATGGAAATCAAGGACTTAGCATGTGTGTCTGGCTAGTCAGTGCTCAGTACATGGTAGTTATTGTGAGTGTCTGTTGGTCTTCCTGCCTCTCTATCTCTTCCTCCCACAATTTTAGTAAAGTGGTCTTCCTCCTACAAGGAGTCAATCAGTCCCCTGCACTCTTCAGACATCTGCAGTCATTGCTAGTCCTGATGGTCCAGGCTTTTCAATGCACTCAAAGACTTTCCTACAAAACAGAGGAACCCCAGTTCCTTATGCTCAAGTCTCCATGTCTGTGTCCTGCATCCCAGTCCCACAGGACATTTTGTGCTGTCGAATCCACTCTTGTACTTCCGGGCCTTTGCTCACGCTCTGTCTGGAATGCCTCTTTCTTTCTCTGTCCCTTGTTAAAATTCTACTCATCCCTCGAGGTCTTGTTCAAATGCCACATCTTTCGGGAAATATTTTTGTCTAAATGTGTTTTGAAATCTTCCTTGGCCATCTAGTTAGAATTGATTCCTCCATTGGCCACAGTCTCACAGCACTTTGCTTGTACCTTGGGTTCAACTAGACCTATTGTATTTTGCAAAAGAGTTAGTTGCTCAAATCTATGTCCTTCCTGGCCTTCTAAACAACTTCAGGGAAGGAACTGTGACTTCGTAAAATCAATATCCACACAGTGCTTTGCTCCTAATATGTGATCTGTGTTTTACAATTGAATTAAAACTGGATATGAAATAGATGGCTTTTAAATATCTGTGAGTGAGCTGCGTCCATTGGTCTGGGCAGATCTGTTACAGAGCTTAGTAAGTGAGTGTGGCTCTGGCAACATAACAGTATAGTAAAGGGAAAGGCACAGGACTTTCCAATCTCTTTGACAGCAGCCTAGACCTCACTTATTCCAAACCCTTGATGAGATAGCAGATGGGATGTGAGCTAATGGATGGGAGTCATCTGTTACTTGAAGAGGTTAAGGGAGAGGGGTTTCCTCTTCTACTAAGAGGATGGAGAGAGGAAGAACTACTTCTAATTGGTGCATACCTCCAAGTTGTGGTTCTTGGCCAGTCTGTGGTGAGATCTGGTCAGGGAGTTGGGATTCATTCCTGGATTCCAAATGGTTTCCAGGTTGTGCTGACATAGCAGAGGAATTCGGCTTCCAGCATAGAGCCATGCTTTCTCAGTAGTTGAAACAGTTCACTAGCTGTGCCAATGGGAAAGGTGTTGGAAGTGTCTGTGGTGAGGATGCTACTTGTCTACTGAAACCTTCTTTCTCTTGTTCCTGAATAAGAGTTGCAGATGGGATATGGCTGCCTGCCTCAGCACCTCAGTTCCTAGCCTTGCTTGCAGCTAGGTCAGGCACAGAAATACGCTCAAGAGGGTTGTGTGCAACTTCCCACTCTCTTCCTAAAGGAGAGTCTCTGGTGCTGGAACTCCACTTTTTCCTCTCTTCCTATTGGTTGGGATGGAAGCCCTTAACCTGGCCCTGGAAGCCACTTGTTGAAGATGGCAGAGCTCTGTCAGCCTGGCTCCCTGAACACTTGCGTGAATGGGAGCCTCCTGATGGGGCTGGGAGAGTTTCAGCCATTGCTTTGCAGTTATTTTAGTAGCTGTCATTTCTGCAATACAATGTCTTTTCTTTTTCCATCTCTAAAAAGCTACCAACAAATATTTATTGAGCAATGGCTATGTGTTAGGTCCTGAGGGAGATAAACAGAAAAGAATGTTTCATAGTCCCTGTCCTTAAGGAGTTTATAGTCAGGTTGACCAGAAAAACAAACAAACATGCAAAAAAAAAAAACCTAGATAAGAGTAAAATGAACTGTGTAGGCAGGCTATCACTCAGATCACAGAGAATACACACTAGGATAGAAATATTCCCTTAGGCTACAGAGAGCTAGGAATTCTTTTGAAGGAGGTAAGACTCGAGAAATTTCTTGAGGATTGATCAGATTTGGAAGGCTGAAGAGAAGCCAGTAAAGCACAGCAGATGGGCAAGTGCAGTGTGTGTCTTGAGACTGGGCAAGGTGCGATAGTGAGTCCTCTAATTTGGGTAGATGAAGCGATTACTTTGCTTCAAGGAGTAGTGGTAGTTACCTTTGGAGAGATTGTTGGGGTGTGATTAGGGGAAGTCTTAAATACCAGACTGCCCAGGAAACTGGTTTCTCCCTGCAGCCAATGGGGAGCTGCCTAGGGCAGCATCCTTGCATACCAGTGTGAATCTACCAGTGTGAATGTAGCTACCCAAGCAACTTTTTGTTTGTTCACAGATCTGTTGTCCAGGCATTTTGTAGGAGGCTGTGAAAAGTCTGGGTAGATCTCCAAAGTACAGTTTTCCTACAAATAGCTGGTTTGTGTACTGAGGGCCTAAGTCCATTCCTCAGAACAAACTGTAGAGGAAGAAATACATGGATGGTTGTCCCACAGGTTCAACTCTTTCCTGTTAACCCCACCTTTAAAATAAACTTCCTTTCAGCTTCCTGGTCTCGCATTTTCTACACCAGTGACTTCTCACTGTATCTGTCTTTGTATAATTACTTAAAAAAATGCAAGTAAACTTTGCATGTTTAATCTCATTCTTCTTACCTCATTCACTGGCGTTTTATTAATTTCCCTGTCCAAGAAGTCATGTTCAGACTCAGTTCCTCTGCAGTCAATCTGTCTTGTTTTTATTTATCAACCACCTAGCAACACAGTCTTTAAGAGAGCCCTCCTTAACGATTGGTATTCTAGATGCATTTCTATCATATTGTGTAGATTTTTCCAGCTACATGCAAACTTCTCCTCCATTCAAACTGGTGGCAATTATCTCAAAAATTGAGAGGGTATCACCTGCTTGTCTTTCTCTTCTCCTCAGGGAAAAACAGGCTCATGGAACAGTTACTTCTAGGTGTTTTTCCTTGTCTTATCTCTAAGGAGTTGGACTTCTGTTGTCTTGAAAGGTGCAAAAGTTTAGTTGAAGGAGAGTTTGATTGCAGCTGGCAATATTTGAATCACAGCTGTCAACTTGGGCGGGCTATCATTAACTTCAACGTGTTTCCTAAATATGGGAGGGTGGAGGGCCAAGATGCCAGAACAGTTTTCTGTGACCTTTTTGTCCAAGAGCGGCCTTTCTTAAATTATTCAATCCGATGTGGGAGAAAATAGTATAAAAATAAAAAGTCTTCTCAGGTTAAAGTGTTTGAATTGTACAAACTATTACTCCTGACAATATGATGGAAAATGTTGTGTAATTCCTTTTTACAACTTAGAAAGTTAGGAATAGGGGCTCCTTTTGGGCTATCGGAAAAGATTCTCAAACTTTAACATCTCAATAACTTCTTAACTTGTAGAATATTGTATGGTTTGGGTGAACAGAATTATGGTCAACATTCTGGTAATTTAGCTTCATTTTTATCATATTCTGGCAAGTTGTGTTTAAAGAGGTCATGATATTGTATTTTTAAAATACTGTCTCTGTGTTTTCTCTCCTTATAAAAGTGAGACTATCAGTTAGGAAAATGAGCCCATGTTGCTGTTAGCATCCCTAGGATACTTGCTGAAATATGGATTTGAAGTGAACAACATGATTATTTAGCTCCATCCACATGCAGCTTTGCTTATAGTTTCCTATCCCTACTTTTTGCTGTTTCTTCTTTTAGTTCCCCCATATTACTTTTCTTAGTCACTACATCCCATTGTTTGTAAAGTTTATGATTAGGGTTGGGGAAGAATGGGGATTGACTGTTGAGTACAGAGTTTCTTTTTGGAGTGATGAAAATGTTCTAAAATTGATTGTGGTGATGGCTGTACTCTGTGAATATACAAAAAACATTGAGTTTATACTTTATGTGAGTTGTATGGTATATGAATTATACCATACAATAGAGTTGTCATTTTTTTTTAAAAAGGTTTATGGTTATTCAGATCTTTGAATTTAAGAAGTTTTCCAGAAGATATTGTTCTTTCTTGTATTTCTAACTCAGGTTGTCCTTATTGCTATATTAAGAAGTTCATCATGAAATCAGGTTGACACTACCAATCTTCTCCAGTTCTGCATATTTTATTCAGTCTTGGCTGAGACAATGCAATGTGTAATTGAAATCAATGATTTGTGGGATATTACCCACCAAGCAGAAAGGTCATGTTTTACCTTAACATTTTGTTACAATCTTACCTTACTTAGCCTTAATTTCACCTATTGATTTAATAATTTTTTTCACCATAATCTGAAAAATTGACTTTAGAGATATAACATTAAAAATCTTGGGTGACTTTTTTCTTTACTCCAAACTTTGCAGATAGATAGATAGGTAGATAGATAGATAGATAGATAGATAGATAGACTCATAAAGCTTCTGCTAAAAAGTAATTGAACCTGACAGGAATATTTATATTCCCATGAATCCGCTAAGGCAAATGCCCTTGGCTTGGTGACTTCATCAATGATTATTCAATAAAACCCCTTCTTCAATGTCTAGCTCAAACCTAACCACCTCATAGAACATTTGATGTGATCTCTGGCCTACTTCCTCCTAGATTACAAATTATTTATAGCTTTCATCGTCAGAACCACAGCATGGCAAAATATTTAACTTCAATTTATTTGACTTTGACAACAGATGTTCAATATATCATGAGACTTATATCCTTTATTTATTTATTTATTATTTATTTTGAGATGGAGTCACCAGGCTGAAGTGTAGTGGCATGATCTCGGCTTACGGCAACCTCCACCTCCCGAGTTCAAGCAATTCTCCTGCCTCAGCCTCTCAAGTAGGTGGGACTACTAGGCTCCCGCCACCATGCCCAGCTAATTTTTGTATTTTTAGTAGAGATGGGGTTTCACCACGTTGGCCAGGATGGTCTTGATCTCTTGACCTCGTGATCCACCCGCCTCGGCCTCCCAAAGTGCTGGGATTACAGCGACTTATATCCTTTAAAATTTTAAATTTGTATGCAAGTAAGATAACTATCCTTCATTATCTAAACTGAATTGGTTCCTGAGTTAAGATGGTTAACTTTCAGATTCAATCAATATAACAGTATTTAGAATAAAATATCAAAGTTCTGTTTCACACCCTTTCCATTTCTATCATCTCATTCCCTCTCAGAAGTAACCACCATTAACAATTTGGCAAAGAATCTCCCAGATTTTTTGCTGCATACATGTGAGCCTATATACAAAATGTATGGGTTTTTGTTTTTGTTTTTCAGGATAAACAGGAACATCCTATATGAACTACTGGGCCACCAGCTTTTTTGTTTTTATTTTTGTTGTCGCTTGTATTAGTCCATTTTCGCACTGCTGATAAAGACATACCTGAGACTGGGTAATTTGTAAAGGAAAAGAAGTTTAATGGACTCACAGTTCCACACTGCTGGTGGGGCCTCACAATTATGGCAAAAGGCAAAAGGCATGTCTTACATGGTGGCAGACAAGAGAGAAAAGAGAACCAAGTGAAAGGAGTTTCCCCTTTTAAAACCATTAGATCTCACGAGACTTATTCACTACCATGAGAACAGTATGGGGGAAACCACCCCCATGATTCAATTGTCTCCCATTGGGTCCCTCCCACAACACATGGGAATTATGGGAGCTACAATTCAAGACATAACCAAACCATATCATTCCACCCCTGGATATTTGGGAGGGCCCAAATATCATGTCCTCACATTTCAAAACCAATCATGCCTTCCCAGTCGTCTCCCAAAGTCTTAATTCATTTCAGCATTAACTCAAAAGTCCACAGTCCAAAGTCTCGTCTGAGACAAGGCAAGTCCCTTCTACCTATAAGCTTGTAAAATCAAAAGCAAGTTAGTTACTTCCTAGATGCAATGGGGGTACAGGCATTTGATAAATACACCCATTCCAAATGGGAGAAATTGGCCAAAACACGGGGGCTAAAGTCCCCATTCAAGTTCAAAATCCAGTGAGGAGTCAAATCTTAAAGCTCCAAAATGATCTCCTTTGACTCCAGGTCTCACATCCAGGTCACACCAATGCAAGAGGTGGGTTCCCATGATATTGGGCAGCTCCACCCCTGTGGCTTTGCAGGGTACAGCCTCCCTCCCAGCTGCTTTCATGGGCTGGCGTTGAGTGTCTGTGGCTTTTCCAGGCACACAGTGCAAGCTGTCAGTGGATCTACCATTCTGGGGTCTGGAGGATGGTGACCTTCTTCTCACAGTTCCACTAGGCAGTGCCCCAGTGGGGACTCTGTGTGGGAGTTTCAACCCCACATTTCCCTTCTGCACTGTCCTAGCAGAGGTTCTCCATGATGGCCCCAATCCTGCAGCAAACTCCTGCCTGGAAATCCAGGCATTTCCATACCTCCTCTGAAATCTAGGTGGAGGTTCCCAAATCTCAATTCTTGACTTCTGAACACCTGCAGGCCCAACACCACACAAAAGCTGCCAAGGCTTGAGGCTTGCACCCTGTGAAGCCATAGCTGGAGTGGCTAGGAGGCAGAGCACCAAGTCCCAGGCTGCACACAGCAGGGGTCTCTGGGCCCAGCCCATGAAACCATTTTTTCCTTCTAGGCCTCCAGGCCTGAGATGGGAAGGGGCTGCCGCAAAGGTCTCTGACATGCCCTGGAGACATTTTCCCCATTGTCTTGGTGATTAACATTTGGCTCCTTGTTACTTATGCAAATTTCTATAGCCAGCTTGGATTTTTCCTCAGAAAAGGGGTTTTTCTTCTCTATGGCATCATCAAGCTGCAAATTTTCCAAAATTTAATGCTCTGTCACCTCTTGAATGCTTTGCCACTTAGAAATTTCTTCCACCAGATACTCCAAATCATCTCTCTCAAGTTCAAAGTTCCACAGAACTCTAGAGCAGGGGCAAAATGCAGCCAGTTTCTCCATAGTAAGGGTGACCTCGACTCCAGTTCCCAACAAGTTCCTCATCTCCATCTGAGACCACCTCAGCCTGGATTTCATTGTCCATATCAATATCAGAATTTTGGTCAAAGCCATTCAGCAAGTCTCTAGGAAGTTCCAAACTTTCCCACATTTTCCTATCTTCTTCTGAGTCCTCCAAACTGTTCCAAATTCTGCCTGTTACCCAGTTCCAAAGTTGCATCCACATTTTGGGGTATCTTTACAGCAGCACCCCACTCTACTGGTACCAATTTACACTGCTGATAGAGACATACTGAGACTGGGTAATTTATAAAGGAAAAGAAGTTTAATGGAGTCACAATTCCATGTGGCTAGGGAGGCCTCATGATCATGGCAGAAGGTGAAAGGCACACCCTACATGGCAGCAGACAAGAGAGAAAAGAGAACCAAGTGAAAGGGGTTTTGCCTTATAAAACTATTGGATCTCGTGAGACTTACTTACTACCATAAGAACAGTATGAGGGAAACCTCCCCCATGGTTCAATTATTTCCCATTGAGTCCCTTCCACAACACGTAGAAATTATGGGAGCTACAATTCAAGATGAGATTTGAGTGAGAACATAGCCAAACCATATCATTGCTGTTGATTTGGGGGAAACATTATATCTTGAAATTGTACATGAGATCATTCATTTTAACTTCTGCATTATATTTCATGGTATGGAAATTACCATTATTTATTTCAACCCTTTCACTACTAAAGGATGTTTAAGTTTTGCAGTTGGTTATTTTAACAAACACTGTTCCTTCAGACATCCTTGTGTATGCTTCTTTGTAACGTATAGAAGCATCTCTCTAGTATGAAGACCTAAAAGTGAAATTTTTGGGATAAGTGATATTTGCATTAATTTTTATTTTTTTTCTTGAAACAGGATTTCACTCTGTCACCCAGCCTACAGTGCAATAGCATGATCACAGCTCACTGCAGCCTCAACCTCCCAGGCTCAAGTGATCCTCCCAACTCAGCCTCCTGTCTCTGGGACTACAAGCATGCACCACCATGCCTGGCTAATTTTTTAAGTTTTTGTAGACATGGAGTCTCACTGTGTTGTCCAGGCTGGTCTCAAACTCCTGGATCTCAAGTGATCCTCCCTCTTTGGCCCCCCAAAGTGCTGGGATTACAGGCATAAATCATGGTGGCTGATCTGCATTAAATTTTTAGATGAATGCATTTAAAATGCTGCCTTTGTTTCCTCTATCTTTCCAGCAACAGGACGATCACTTAGGTGTCCATCTTGTTCAGTACTCAAAATTTGTTTTCATTTTTTCTTATTTGATTTACAATAAAAATATTTTGTGGTATCAGTTATATTGATGCTTTTCTTTTTATTGAAACTTTCATGTGTATATGTCAAAGTCAACACTGCTTTTATTCATTCAGCAGATATGTATTGAAAGCCTTGGTGAGCCAGGTTCTACTTAGGCCCTGGGATCAGTGGTTAACAAAAATCATAGGATTAGATAGTCCTTTGTGATGGAACCAATACTAAATAATTTAAAAATTATTCTATATATTAACAAATTATCTAAAGAATATTTGAATATAAAGAATATTTGAATATTTGAAGAGAAAAATATTGTAGAGAGTTTATTTAGGATGGAATCATCAGAAAGACTCTCTTTGAGACAATAACATTTCAGTGAACCTGAATTTTGAAGGGAAACTCAGAAATGTGAAGATTTGGTGCAGGAACACTCCAGGCAGAGGGAACATCAAAGGAAAAGGCCTGGTATTGCTGAAGCATAGAAAAGGAGGGCAGATCTCGCAAGGTAAAAGCATCATGCAGATCTTGCAAGGTAAAGAAACTGATTTTTTGGCTGGGCACAGTGGTGGCTCACACCTGTAATCTAAGCACTTTGGGAGGCTGAGGTGGGTGGATCACTTAAAGTCAGGAGTTCGAGACCAGACTGGCCAACATGGTGAAACCCAGCCTTTACTAAAAATACAAAAATTAGTCTGGCATGGCAACGGGTGCATGCAATCCCAGCTACTTGAGAGGCTGAGGCAAGAGAATCACCTGAGCCCAGGAGGCGGAGGTTGCAGTGAGCCGAGGTTGCAACACTGCACTCCAGCCTGGGCAACAGAGCGAGACTCCATCTCAAAACAAAACGAAAACAAAAACAAAAACCAAGAAATTGATTTTTGTTGTAATTGTAATGGTCAGTCACGAAAGATCTTAGGTAGGGGTGTGCTGTAGCTTGATTTTGTTTAGAACCACTTCAGAGAACTGTTAGAAGGCTGTTACATTGCTCTAGATGGGAGAAGATGTTTATATTTGGTGAGAGTAGTGGAGAGGTATGCGTTTTTAAAATATTTCCTACCATAGTGTGACAAACACAATGGACATTCTGTTGAGTGAATGAATGCTTGGAGAAGACCATTTGAGGAGAGATATCTAAGCAACTACAAAAGGTCATTGATATATTGACCTTTTGTGCAATGAAATGTTGACATTTGAATTTACCAATAATTGTTGAGATCATGGAGGATGCCGCTATGGGTTGTAGTCTGAACTTGTGATATTGGTAGAGATAATACAAGGGTAATTCCTTTGTACTTCACTGTTCATCACAATGCAATGCTGAAAGAAAGGATTTCATTTGAGGTTAAGGAGATTGTGCAATTGGAAAGTGGGGTGGTTTGACTTTTAAGGTAATCTTTTTCTGTACCTTTATATCTCCCTGTTATTGTCTCTACTTGTCCTGGGGATATTGGTTGAGTTAAAAACACCATTTCTAAAAACGGAGACCTAGAACTTAGAGCGTTAGTAACACTGTAATAATATTCACTGGGGAGCAGAAACCGGAGCTATGAGATGTGGAACATACTCTCTGAACAATCTATCTCATCGTTCAAGATATAAGAAGACCATGAGAGCTGCTAAGAATCATTCCATATTTGGATTTCTTTTTTCCTAGAAATTAACTTTGTCACAATAGGTCCATGCGTCTCTTCTGGGAAGCAGCTGGCATAGAAGGGAGAGTATGTCCTTTGAATATCAGTTTATATCCTGGTTTTGCCACATACTGATTTCAAGAGCTTGGGAAAACTATTTCACTTCTGGGCTCAGAGTTCTAAGCTGCAATATGGTAGCACTCATCTACTATTTTCAAAAATAACTGCTTTCGAATGCTTTTTATATGT
Organism: Homo sapiens; assembly: GCF_000001405.40. Classification (NCBI taxonomy): domain Eukaryota; kingdom Metazoa; phylum Chordata; class Mammalia; order Primates; family Hominidae; genus Homo; species Homo sapiens. The sequence continues at coordinate 73,381,045 of NC_000013.11, forward strand.
GAGATCACGTATATGAATTAGCTTAAAGCATGGTCTCTTTGTTTCCTTCCTAAGTGAGTAGTTGTCAGATATAATTTTATTGCTGATCAATATTGCTATGTTGGGAGAACATAGAGGATTGAGAGATCCCAAGACAAAGGCTCATCAAGGTGTTAACTTGGGTGTAGACTCCTGGCTTTCCCTTAGGACATGCAGAGACAGCCAAAGTAGGCAAAAATTAAGTGAGCTGATGGGTTTTGATGATTAAGCCAGAATCTGGGAGAATCAAAAGTCCACGCTGGCTATAAGTACATTTGGATGAAGGCTGCTGAGAACAGGAAAGTACTGAACCTCCATTTAGATGTGAGCTTTTGACTTGGTTACACTGTTTCCTCTCCAAACTGGCACTTTATTCTCAGCCCTCAAATAAAGAGCAACCATTGGATTTTGTAATGTAAAAATCATTATTGCCCTTAGGGAAAGGATTACTGAACTTTCTGTACCTAGTGTTTATGCCTTTAATAAGCACAGTGTTTCCAAAAGAATTGAATGCCTTTTTGTACTATGATGTTTTTCTATTACTACATCTAAGTTTTGTACCTTAATGTCTGGGAAGCTTGTTTGTTTACATAAATTCACAGAAACCTGACAAACAGTAGGAATTTGTTCTATAGAGATGGGTAAATCCCTAAAGAACTTGTTGGTTTCATGCTAACCACTTTGCTGTAGCCAGGCGCCTTTCCTTTCTAAGGAAAAGATTTATAGATGGGGAAAAGGTTCATGGGAAATAACACTCAGGTCACTGCAGCAGCACCACACATTGAAAGTTCATCCAGCTCTATATGAAAACTCTTGCATGCTCTAACATTTGACTGAGCTTTAAGGTTTGTATGTAGCATTGCATTTTGATTCTAAGTATGACTCCATAAAGGGCAATAGCATAAAAATACTTCGTATTCTCCTAAACATTGAAAGCCAAAACATGAGGAGGAAGAATTTAAGCATGGAGAAATGAGAATGGAGAGAAAAGCAAGAGTCAGATGGCAAAGGGCTTTGTGTGCCAGCCTCAAGGATTTAAACTTTATTCTTAGGAAACTTTGGAAGATTGTGGGAGGCTTTTAAGACAGGAGATAATATTTTTAGAGATGCAATTTAGAAAGGTATCTGTTGGGGATCAGTGGAGGTTTGATGTGAAGGGTGAAGCCTAGAGGGAGATAGACCAGGTGGGTGATTTAGAGGAATTAAAGTGAAGAAAGAGGCCATGAAGTGTGGCCATGGTGGTAAGGATGGAAAGGTTGGGACAAGTTTGGGTGGATGAATGAATAAAGAAAAAGCCAGGGCAACAAAATAATGGCAGTTAGAACACATGATTAATTTACTCTTTTGGCCAGACAATTTCCTAACAAATCAACAGAGTATATATACCATGTTGAAAGAAACATTTTTGTGTAACATTTATCAAGGATATTTAGTTGGGTTGTGGAGACTTTGTAGACTCTGGACAGAGCTACTTTTCCACTCACCTTCAAAACACTGCTTTATCATCATTTAGAGTGCTTTTTAAGGGATTCTCCTTATTAAAATCAACCAAAGGGAAATTAAAAGAGAGATAAAATATTATATATTTATTTTACTTCTGCTGTTGGATTCTTTGAAGGTCTACTGTGATTTCTTAGTTCCAGTAAGTTTTTAATGGCTGTTAAAGAGTTCATCTCATTGGTTACTTTCATATTAGGAAATAAAGGAGGAGATTTAAACTGAGGAATACAACAGTAGTAGTTCATTTTTCTGGTTATAAAGATTTATAAAATATTAAAACTGATGAATGCTTGGTGTGGAATTAGACATTATTTGGATGTTTTTCACCCTGTATCCTCTTTAGAAAGCATTTACAGTTCTTATTTACACCCTCCTGAGACAGCTAGGTCACAAACGCAGGAGTCATATAGGGTCCAGAATAGGGTCTGGAGGCAGGGAACCTAAGGCCAATTCACACTGACTTCCCAGATCTAAATCAAGAGGAAAACCCCAACTTTCTGCACCCAAGTAACAAGAGGACCAGAGGCTACTCCCTTTGCACTGCCCCCACTTTTCTGCATGTCAGATAAAAATTGAAAGTACTTCTAATTGGTCCCCTCCTCTGCAACCAGTGAGACTGGTCAGTGGGGCAAGTTTCCATTTGCACAGGAGTATAACTTGTAACTTCACTTCAGCCTCTGATTGGTCACTTTCTGCAACCAATCAGACTGATTGCAGGCCACTACTTCATTTGCATAGGGTGTATACCCAATAACCCATGGGAACCCTCTAGAGGGTATTTAAACCTCAGAAAATTCTGTAACCCAGCTCTTGAGCCACTTCCACCCTGTGGTGTGTACTTCCATTTTCAATAAATCTCTGCTTTTGTTGCTTTATTCTTTCCTTGCTTGGTGTGTTTTGTCCAATTCTTTGTTCAAGATTCCAAGAACCTGGATCCCCTTCACCGGGAACAATATATATCACCTATGGAAAACATACACTACTATGCATACAGTAGGCATTAAACAAAATCATATCATCATCCATAAAATAAGTATGTGTTGTGAGCATAGTACTGAGTTGAGGTGGTGGAAATGAGAGGTGGGTCCAAAAAATGAAAGTTTCTTCTCTTACAATTTAGTTAATGAGACAATATACATCAATGTACAAGATTTGACTGACAAAGTCGAATGGCAATCCAAGATAATCACAAGATACAGCAACAAGAAACATATTTTTGTGAACCAAATGAGTGATGGTGACAATAAATGTCCGAGAAGGAGAGAAAGCCACTTGGGCTGAGGTGGTCTAAGATGGGCCCCAGTAGAGTTTGTATAGATGGAGAGGAGGAAGCAGAGAACACAAAGACAGGGACATGTCAGGTATGTTTTTTTTGGAAAGGGAACAATGGATGGTTGCAGCCTGAAAAGTAGATTATTGTCCAAGAATAAAGACAATATATCTTAGGTATTAAGAGCTGCTTTTGAGTTGTGAGTTAGAATTCCAGAACAGTCATCTGCCAACTATTTTTCTTTGGGCAAGAAAGTATCTCTCTAATCCTCAATTTCTTAATATAATTTGACTAATAACAATTATTCGTTAGAGGTGTGTGTGTGTGTGAACTCGTGTGTGCATGTTTTAACTGACAATGCGTAAATAAAGTGCCCTGTACAGTGCTGTTTAGTAAATGGCAAATTAAAGAACATAAGCTGTATATATCCTTGGGTAACAGGGATGGTTTTTAATGTGGACAGTGACATAATAAAAAACTCATAAGAAAGAATGATAGGACAATAATGAGTAAGATAGGGGATAAAGTTATAGGTAAGGACAGCGCTCAGGAAGCTATCACATTAAATCTAGCATGAGCAAGTAAATGTCCAAATTATTATTATGTTTTCTTTTGTTTTTGAGATGGAGTCTTGCTCTGTCATCAGGCTGGAGTGCAGTAGCGTGATCTTGGCTCACTGCAACCTCTACCTCCCGGGTTCAGGCGATTCTGCTGCCTCAGCCTCCTGAGTAGCTGGGACTACAGGTGCAAACCACCACGCCCAGCTAATTTTTGTATTTCTAGTAGAGACAGGGTTTCATCATGTTGGCCAGGAGGGTCTCCATCTCCTGACCTTGTGATCCAGTCACCTCGGCCTCCCAAAGTGCTGGGATTACAGGCATGAGTCACCATGCCTGGCCTAAATGTCCAAATTATAATGGTGATAATAAAGATAAAACAAACAAACAAACAAATAACAATGGGGGTTGGATCTAAGAGATTTTAAATAGAAGAAAAATAAGACTTTATGACTGATTGAATACAGGTAAGGGGTAAAGGCAAGAGGAAATCTACACAGATAATTCTGAAATTGTGAGAGACTCCGATGTAGAGAATGCTGATTCTATTTTCAGGGAAGTGTGAAGGGACAGCCAGTTGCGGGGTGGGGTGGGGTTTGGTTTGAGATATATCGTTTTGCAGGCAGGAGGTAAAATGAAATTGCTGAGGTTTAGTTAGAAAGGCTCACAGGGCAGAGCCCACACATGGGAGAACCTCACACCTAGAAGAGTGAGAAGGGAGGGGAGATGCTGTAAAGATGGCAGGTAAGGAGCAGGCAGGAGTGGGAGGAGAAACCTCAGGATGTAGTAAGAATCCGCCACAGAGAAGGGAACATCCAGCATGGGTGTGATGTCTAATCTGTAGAGCGACACTGCAAAGGAGCCTAAGGAACGTGCCAAAGCCTCTGAACTTGTCGGTGGGAGGTCACTGTCGACCCTTGAGAAGGCTGTTTTCATGCTTGAGAAACATGGTGGGTGGGAAAGACACCGGGGTGAGAAGAGATGGCAGTGGTAGGGACAGAAGACTGCAGGTGAGAAGTTAGACAATCAAAAGCAGAAAGCAAATTGTAGGTATCAGGAAGCAGATGGTTTTTCAAGATGAGTGATGCCAGAACCTTTAGGCAGGCAGAAAGCATAGAACATTCAATGGAGAAACCTTAGTGTGCTGGAGAGGCAGGCACTAAGAAAAGAAGTAAGTTCTTGGAGTCGGAAGATGATAAAATGGAAAGAAGGTAAGAAACTGGATCATCTCCACCTGTGAGATTAGAGAGGAGAAAAAAATGATAGATATAAACACAGGTATCTTGAATGGGGACTTTTCATTGGCCTTAGAAAAAATGAAATTTGAAATTGTCTCCAAATCGGGAAGTGAGAAAACAGGAACCAATAATGGGAAAATGAGAGACGTTCTTTCAGAAAGAATCATGGCGTTTGGCCATTATTAGGAAGGTGAAAGAACAACAAACCTCATGTCTAGTATTGTGGGATGGGCAAGGGCATGGTCAACTAAGCAACTCTAATAACCCACAGTAATTCATGAAAGCATCTGCATCTCATCACAGAATTCTAAGATAAATTAACAAGGGTGATGACACATTCAAGGTAAAATGGTGCTGAAGAAAAACAAAGCTTTCAGTGATGGACTATCCTGCACTGTGGAGGCAGAAAAACTGGCATTTCCTGATCAGATGGAACTATGAGAAATAAAGGAGAAACAAAAAACAGTAGGATACAACAGCTTAGAGTGTTTTGACATCAGTCAACAACTAGTGGGATTGCCCAGAAAGAACATTTAAACAACCAATGGAAGTGATCCAGAGAATAATAAACTCTTATTTTTAAGTTGCCTAATTAGAAAGTGACATGACAGCATATAAACAGGCAATATGTCAGCATTTCATCACCAAACATCCGAAGATGACAAACCAAACAACTGAACAAAATGTTACAGAGTGGGACAGGACATTGTGAAGGGAAACTGCTTGCAAGCCAAAATTAATACTATTTTATGTGACATTTCAGAATGATGAGGCTTCAAAAAAACAGCAGATGAAGAAACCCTTACTGATAATGAATGAGAAGAAAGAAATACCTGAGACTATGGAGAAAGACAAATATAAGAGAAGGCAGAATTTAGATCAGTTGTAGTTTAGGAGTGTGGACTGCATTTTGAAAAACCTGTTACCTAATCAGTCTTTGTACCTGAAGGTACAAACCACAGTAGACTGTGGAAAATATTTCCTTGGCCTTAAACGGCAGGGGGACCCTATGTAACAGTTTGCCCCTTTCCAAAAGGATTGAGTTGAAATGATGATTAGGCTCACTTCTATATGTGAAGTTCTGTGATATTTGATGTTCAGGCAGGTATTTTCATGCAAGAATTCAGACACTATTGGATATCAGAAAGAACATTAGGAATAGAGGAATCAGAAACCATAACTGTGTGACTTATGACAAGGCATTTGACTTCTCAGGTTGTTTTAGAACTACCATTTGACCCAGCAATCCCATTACTGGGTATATACCCGAAAGAATAGGAATCATTCTATCATAAAGACACATGCACGCATATGTTAATCACAGCACTATTCACAATCGCAAAGACATGGAATCAACCTAAATGCTTATCAATGGTAGACTGAATAAAGAAAATGTGGCACATATACAATGTGGAATACTACACAGCCATAAAAAAGAATGAGATTATGTCCTTTGTAGCAACAGGGAGGGAGCTGGAGTCCATTTTCCTAAGCAAACTAACACAGGAACAGAAAACCAAATACCACATGTTCTCACTTATAAGTGGGAGCTAAACATTGAGTACAAATGGACACATAGAAGGGAACAATAGGCACAAGGACCTACTTGAGGATGGAGGGTGAGAGGAGGGTGAGGATCCAAAAACTACCTATTGGGCACTATGCTTACAAAATAATCTGTTCGCCAAATCCCTGCTGCAGGCAATTTACCTATATAACAAACCTGAACCTAAAAAAAAAAGATTTTAAAAATCAGGTTTTTTTTTTTTTGCCAAATATCGGCTATAGAAACAACTATGTTGTGGGTGACAGAACCTGTATCACCCTTTAGAAAAGAAATACTTCCTATCGGGAGGGGATCTGGTGCCTAGCGCCAAAGCATGGCATCTGGTGATGGCAGTGGGAGGCCTTGCTGCTCATGAAAGGGGTTGGTTGGTGGCTTTGCTGAGCTGGCTGCCAAGCTGTTTCCTCAATTAGGTCACAGGCCATGGTGCTGAAGGTCTGGGAAGACTCCAAGGCCTCCGGAGACTCCAACAGTGTGGTCATGTACTGAAGAGTGGATTTTTACTTAGGCCCTGCGACTGGTCCGGGGTTACCATGTATACTGGGGAGGCATCATGGTGCCATGTCATACCGCTCAGAAAAGGTGACATACACCTGCCAGGATTTTGCTGTGATATGCTGAGGGTTGCTTTAAGCTATGAAACAAATATATCATGTCTTCCTGGAATATCAATGATTCCTCGGAGATCTTGAAGAAGAGTAAGAAATTTAGATTGCTAAGGCAAAGGTAGCAGCTGTAATAAACTCCACAATATGCAATGACTCCGGCATGTAGAAGTGCTTTCTCACTAATGTAACTGTGAGCTTGGCATATAGCTTTCCCTTCAAGGGGTCCTTCGGGGACCTAGGTTTTTTCTGTGTTGTAGCTCTGCCATCTTCAACATGTGGCTTCCAAGGTCAGAATGCTCCTTTTTTTTTTTTTTTTTTTGAGAGATGGGATCTCACTATGTTGCCCAGGTTGGTCTGGAACTCCTGGGCTCAAGTGATCCACCCACCTCAGACTCCAAAATGCTGGAGATTACAGGTGTGAGCCACAACTCCTGGCCATCATGCTCTTTTGCTTAAAGCCACTCAAAGGAGAAAGGGCCCAGAGGATTGAGCTTTAAAAAGTTTCTCAGTAAGGTTTAGAACAGGATCACATGTCAGCGACTGACACTCAAGAAAATGGTTACATATAATTGCAAAGAAGACTAGGAAAGCAACTTAACTCCATACATAGATAGATGAAATAGCTTTGGAGAGAAGCTATGTAGCATTCTAACAATAATTGATAATTCAAATATTATCCAGACTTTTTCTATTAAAACAAACACACATATGATGTAGGACACAAATTCACATAGATTCTGAGGCCAATGTAACTAAAATTCAAAGATGCTTTCGGCTAGCTTGAGGCTACTCTGTGTTTACTATACCCAAGATCCTTGGAGCTCCACATTCAATCTTCTCTACCTAATTATTAAAAAGGGGCATAAACTTCATTCTACCTAGTTTATAATAGGCATTTAATATATATGTTTTGATTAAATAAAACAGTGGATGCATGAAATGCTATCAGTCAGTACTTGTCTGACTCATAGGAAGTGGACAAGTGTCAGAAAGGCCTCTTGAAAGTACTTCCCTTTGGTCAGCTTCTAAGTTGTCACCTGGATAACTAGGAATAACTGAAATTTTACTTTAGAGACTCATGCTGGTTAAATATGATAACTTTTAGGAGTCCTTACTAAAGGGGTAATATATTAGCAGTTATTCATATCTTAAGTTACAACTTAAGTTACAATGAAAATGTTGACTGAGATTAAAGCTGCTCCCTTTAAAGAGCTTCTTATTTTGGCTGAATTAACAAAGCAGTTTATAAACAACTCATGTCATTCATGTAACTGATGTGATAATAATTTCCATGTAATTGATTGATAATTTGACTAGCTTAATCACCCTTCCCCCACCCCCTTTTGTTACAGTTACTCTTCACCTGAATGACTTAAGAAGAAAAAGTGGGCAAAATAACTGGCACACATTAATGTAACTACATATTCACAAAATATAATGTGGGAAGAAGCAAGAAGGAATAAGAATAGTAAGTGATAGAAGAATAAGAAGATCATATACTGTGGATTTCCTCAGTCACCTGACTGCTAAAAAAATATCTAGTGATTGGCTAGGCGCAGTGACTCATACCTGTAATCCCGGCACTTTGGGAGGCCAAGGCGGGCGGATCATGAGGTCAGGAGATGGAGACCATCCTGGCCAACACGGTGAAACCCCGTCTCTACTAAAAATACAAAAAATTAGCTGGGCGTGGTGGTGGGCGCCTGTAGTCCCAGCTACTCGGGAGGCTGAGGCAGGAGAATGGCATGAACCCGGGAGGCGGAGCTTGCAGTGAGCCGAGATCACACCATTGTACTCCAGCATGGGCAACAGAGTGAGAGTGCATGCCAAAAAAAAAAAAAAATCTAGTGATTTTCAGGAAACTATAGAATAAGACATTCATTGCTTAGTTTCCACCATAATTACCAATAGTCATTCATTTGTATGTTCAACAAGTACTTACTATGTGCAATTACTGTCTTAGGAGGTAGGAATATATTTATTCATTCAATAAATATTTGTTAAGTACCTATCATGTGTTAGCTACTGTTCTAGGAGAGGGGATATAGTAGTAAACAAATAGCCAATAAAATAAATATAGACTATGTCAGGTGAGGGAAGGAGAAAGAAGAGACATAAAAGACCACAAAAGAACAGACAGTGATGAGGAAGTTGGATAGGTTTAAAGAAGACTTGTCTAGTAAGGTGATATTTGAGCAGACTGCTGAAAGAAAGGAAGCAGGAAGCCATGCAGGAATCTGGGGATAGAATGATCTAAACATAAGAAACAGCAAGTATAAAAGTCCAGAGGCAAAATACCATTGCTGAGAAAAAGCAAAGAGGTATATATACTTGCATTACAGTGAAGGGGAGAGAGTGCTAGAAAATCTAATAGGTTCGAGGAGGTGGAGGTGGACTAGATTACATATGCCCTTGAAGGCAATACTAAGACCTCTGAATTCTCTTCCTCTTGAAACTGGGTTGAGCTTAGTAACTTGTTTGACTAATCAACTGCATTAGTCAGATGGCATGCTGGGACTCCTGATGCTAGATCAAAAGAAACTTTGCAGATTATGCTTGCTCTGGAGAAGGTGAGCTGCCAAATAAGACATCTGGATACTGTGAGACTACCATGTTGGATAGGCCACAAGTGGGTACTCTGGTCAAAAGTCCCAGCGGAGTAAGATATGGAGAGCTAGGCCTATAAGTGTACAAACTGTGTGATTGCATAGGGCTGTGCTAGTGCCTTCCTGAAAATCTTTAAAGAATTATCAGAGGAGCAGGCTAGTTGTTGCAAGAGTGGATTGTTATAAGGCAAGCCCAGCTCCTGGAGCTCCTCTCTTAGGCACACTCTCACTTGCCCTTTTGCTCTCCCACCATGGAATAGCACAGCATGATGGTCCTCACAAGATGCTGGTGCCATGCTCTTGGACTTCCCAGTCTCCAGAACTGTAAGAAATACATTTCTTTTGTTTATAAGTTACTCACTCTATGGTATTCTGTGATGGCAACAGAAGATGGACAAAGATAGTCCCATAGACCTGTCTATTCACTAAAGTACCCTTAAATGTTCTTGTGGGGAACAGAAGAATCACCCAGCTGAACCAAATTTGTGACTTATAATAAAATAGTTGTTGTTTTAAGTCACTACTCTTTGAACAATTTTTTGTGCAGCAGAAGGTAAAAAGATCAGACATCTTATCAGTTGTTTCTGTGATATCCAAGTGGAAATATCCAGTAGATACTTTTCTGGGTTAAAAATAAATACTTGAGAACCATCAGCATATACATGATATGGAGGCCATGGGACTGAATAATGTGACCTGGGGAGTGAGTGTAAATTGAGGAGAGACCAGAAGATTGAGTCTTACTTTTTGCCCTCCAAGGTTGTAAGGACCTAACAAAGGAAATTGAGAGTAGCTTTGAGGTTATAGGAAAACCAAGAGATAATAAAATCTAAGCGGCCAAGGAAAGTAACGTGTTATGGAGGATGCAGTGATTAATGTTGTGAAATGCTACTGATCAAAAGAAGATGAGGACTGAGAATTGTCTATTGGATTTGGCAATATAGGGTCATTACTGAAAGTGATAAGGGACATTTCATAGAATAATGGCCATGGGAGAAAAGGAGAGCAGGAAATAGATCTAGCAAGCACAGAAAACCTTTCAATGAATTTTGCAGTAAAGGGAAGCAACAACCAAAGAGAAATATAGATAAGGTCAGGAGTTCTTGTTTTGTTGCTCAATGGGAATAAGAATGATGCAGTAGAGTAGAAAAATGGATTATTCAGGAGCCAATTGGCAACAGAGACACAAATAACTAAGCAAAGTAATTTTGGATTGTGATAAATGCTGTGAAGAAACTACATAGGATGCAGGACCTAGACAAATGTTGGGATTGTATTTTGGATAAAGTGGTGAAAGAAGACCTTTCTGGGATGTTTGAGTTAAGACCTAAAGATTTTCTTCAATCACCCAGGGAGAAGGATGAAGGGAGAAGAGAGAGAGAGAAGGAATAGAAAGATAGAAAGTTCAGGTGACCCAGCTGAGCTTGGCTGGGCATTTGAGGTATGGGGAAGGGGGCCAGTGCTGTTAAAGAAAAGTGAGCACGGCTGGGCGTGGTGGCCTATGCCTGTAATCCCAGCACTTTAGGAGGCCGAGGCAGGCGGATCACGAGGTCAAGAGATCGAGACCATCCTGGTCAACATGGTGAAACCCCGTCTCTACTAAAAATACAAAAAATTAGCTAGGCATGGTGGCACACGCCTGTAGTCCCAGCTACTTGGGAGGCTGAGGCAGAAGGATCGCTTGAACCTGGGAGGCGGGGGTTGCAGTGAGCCAAGATCACACCACTGCACTCCAGCCTGGAGACAGAGCAAGACTCTGTCTTAAAAAAAAAAAAAAAAGGAAGAAGAAAAAGAAAAGTGAGCAGAGATAACTGAGCTGAAGAGTAGACAGGTTCCAGATCTTGTCATTGTTTGTCAATCACAATAAGTTTGGATTTTATTGTAAGTGCAAAAGGAAGTCTCTGGAGGATTGTAAATAGGAGAATAGTTTAATATGATCGTTAATAATATGATTAACAGCAATTTTATCATCTTGCATTTTGAAGTGCTTTATGATTTATAAGCGCTGAATCTCATAAACAGAGACTCAGAGTTTGAATCATTTGCCTAAGGTGTGAGCACAGATCTGGACACCCAGCTCAGTGGTAAGTGCAGAGAATGGACTCAAACCCAGTTCCGTCACTTGGCAATGCCAGTGATTTTTTTCCACCACTCCAGTCTGCTATTCTCATTGCTTGTTTACACTCTCCGCACACTGGAGTTCATACTGATCACTCTGTGCCTCAACAGAAACTCTCTACTGCTGTCCCTTATGTCTTGTCTTTGATTCTTAAACACATCAGAATCAGTCCACACCTTTCACATTTTATGCCTCCTGCCACCCACCAAAAAGGTCAAGTGACCTTCTTCCTGCTCTCCTGCTTCTCCATCCCTTCTCACACTGAGCTCTATAGTTATTGTTGTCTGTTGCTCTTCATTTTGTGAAATTATAATGACTTCTTAGAGGTCAAAGACTTTATCTTAATACTTCCTTCAATTAATCTTACTATGCACAGAATAGGCAATAATATATGCCTCAGATAAACGAAGCAATGTGTTTCAAGGGCCAAAGCTTGTTTTCATTTAGAACTATAGAATTTCTCACCTACGTATTCTGAACAAGGTCAATGAAACAATCACAGAGGATGTTATTTCAAAATGTCTGATGCAAGTAACCCTGGAACTATTGGATGGCATTGTGTGTCATAGGATCAATGTTCTATAAGACACAGGACATTTATGTTTACTGAAAGGATAAGCTTTTCAAATTTGATAGATTGAGAAAGCAGAAATGTTTCTACTATCTACAATTGAAAATACTGATTTTTTTTGGGTATTTTTAAAATTGATATATCACCATACTTATTTGGTGGTACATGTGATACTGTGATGCAAGTATACAATGTGTAATGATCAAATCAGGGTAATTGGGAAGTCCATCATCTTGAAAATACTAATTTACAATAAGAAACTTGCTTTTATTGGTGAATGAAAATGATCTGGTATTTCAAGCAGAAGAGATTAAGAATTATGCCACCTATGTAAGAGTAGGTTACTAGAGAGCAATATATTTTATTAAAATCAATGAGATTTGTGACTGGAACATATGGATTGTATTATAAAAGCCTGTAATATAGCTCTTATTGTGACTATTTAATCTTCATGTTACACTTTTCAGGCATTTTGATCTTTAGTTTTTGGCATAAGTCAATGAGCAAAAGGATCCTCTTAAATCTTTGCAACACAGGAAGGATTCCCAAATTAGAGACTGTATTTTAGTCAACACAGAATTTACCTTATAACTGGAGTCAGGGAGATAGTGACTGAAAATGTTCCATTGGCTCCAGTTGTCCCAACTCATGAAAAAACCCCAAAGAGGAGAACTGCTAAGTCCAGGTCTCTACCATCTTCACCATCTCCACAAGGTGAAGGACATGGACATGGATCAAGCTAAATAAAATTTCTATAATATTTCATTTATTTCCAATCAGCTGCTGCCACATAGAAACAACAGTATGGTGGCCAAATTTATTGCAGAAAAGTTTAAATTATTGAAGTTTCGGTATAAGATAGGAACATCTATATTAAATCATTATTTATATGCAAAGATTATTAAAAATTTATTTTAACGTGGAACATAAAATCAGTGCAGCACAAGATTCATCTGCAGTGTAATTATTTCACTTTGTGTGGGAATGAAGTTATTCCTTTTGAGTTTAAGTCATCAAGAGGCAAAAGGAAAAAAACCTCACCCTAAAACTGAACTTGCTTTACTTGTTAAGATAGAAGCATAATAGAGCTACAACCTTAGCTATATACAGATTACAAAACTAAGGAACTACTTTTACAGTAAGTCAAATTATGAGGTAATATTTTATACCATGAAATCCTAGTAATATAAAAAAATCTGTCAAGAAATCTACAAATGATTCAACAGCAAGTTGAGACTTGGAAAAGAAAAGAATTGCATAGTATTCACCTGTATCAGCTTAGCTATAATTATGTAGATAAAACTATATGTAATTTTTTTCATTCAGTATTCATTTATTCAATTCAATTCAGTAGATAATAATGGAGAACCTGCCACATATGAAGCACTGTGTTAGGCACCACTAGAGAAGCACAGATAAGTAAGATATGGTCTCTGTTCTGAAGTTTATTGTCTGGTGGGGGAGGTGGACAAAAACTAGATGTAATACAGGTCTGGCTGTGACCAGAGCTACATGATATAATAGCACAAAAGAAAGTGTCATTGATTCTACCCAGAGGAGTCAGGAAGGCCTCACCATTCACTAAGGTGAATGGTGAGTAGAACTTCTATAGGTAGAGAGGAAATAAAGGCTTTCCAAGTAGAGGGGTAATATAATGGAACGTGTTTAATTGTGGCTGGAACATAGAGCCCTGATAGGGAGTGACTAGAGACAAATCTACATGGGGGATGGGTTGGAGGTGGAAGATACTGGACCTGGTGGAAGATAGGGATATATATTCAAAGTAGGGTATTGACAGTCGGAATGGGAATGAAACAGGGGCTTTGGGCCATTTGTGATTCTGTCTTGATTGGGCTCTCTGTGCCTGAAATGATCTCTGGGAGATTTTCTGCTTATTTTTTAAAAATCAGCTCCAATAGGCTCTTACAGAGGAAGACTTCCTCCATCTTGTCAGGCAGCAAATGTCCCTCTACCCTTGGGGGTCCCATAGCATTTGGATCACATCATTCATAGAATTCTTATAGGCTACAGCCCATATGAGCAGCAGGCTTGGAGGAAGGCTTCATTTTGGATCCATTGTTTGCAAGGTGGTTTTTGGTGGAGGTGGCCAGCAGGCAGCTATAATCTCATCTGTAGCTCAGAAAAAAAATAAAGTTTAAGGTACAGATTTGGGAAGAATTTGCATAGAAATGGTCATAGAATTGAATAAAATTTAGGAAAGAAACTCTGTTTAGTATATATTGAGATTCAGATGTCTGTAAGATATGCATACTTGGCCGAGCACGGTGGCTCACACCTGTAATCCCAGCACTTTGGGAGGCCAAGGTGGGTGGCTCACCTGAGGTCGGGAGTTTGAGACCAGCCTGACTAACATGGAGAAACCCCATCTCTACTAAAAGTACAAAATTAGCCAGGCGTGGTGGCACATGACTGTAATCCCAGCTACTCAGGAGGCTGAGGCAGGAGAATTGTTTGAACCCGGGAGGCAGAGGTTGCGGTGAGCCAAGATTGTGCCATTGCACTCCAGCCTGGGCAACAAGAGCGAAACTCCGTCTCAAAAAAAAAAAAAAAAGATGTGCATACTTTATTTTTTTAAATTCAGGACTGGCTGTGGACTTATGTCTTTGGTGAATTTATGATCTAGAAATGTGTGACCAAAAATAAAGTATGCTGTTTCGTGGTAAGCTCAACATTTTTATCGGAGAAATTTAAAACATGATAATATAAATTATTATTAATATAAAGCAAAGAAAACATTCTCTAAAAAATTGTAGTTGTCAGTATTTTAATACAAAAATGGAATGCCTAACTGGGCATATACTACTTAAGAGACTATCGGTTATAATTATCAGCAGAAGGATGCTGCTTATGTGAAAATCAACAGTTAGCTTCCAAATGTAAGTCAATTCTTGACTGAATAGTGTTATAAAAATAAATCCAAATGTGTATTGAAAACAGTCATTGGTCCTCCACCCAATGCCAAATCATTAAGTCATCCCAGAAAAAAAGGGCAGATCTGTAAAATGATGATCTGGAAGATGTAGTTGGTGAGCCTATAGGAAAAAGTTGTGAAGTCGCAGACCTTACATGAAGTTGCAATCACAAGAGAAAATACACAATTATTTTGTTGCCAACAATATTGGGGATGTTATTAGGAAATGATTTTTTTCTAAAGGAAAAAGAAGGTAGTTATAGCTTTGCTTTTTTGTAATCTGTTATTCCAAGTGTTGATAGAGTTGGAGTTAGGATGAATTTTTCCATGTTGCATTCCATATATTAGGAGAGAAGAGGAATGTGTTGGGGTAAAGGAATACGTAAGGTAGATCCTACAGGTGGGGAAGGGAGGATGAGAAGGAGTGAAAAAGGGACTTGGGAATGAAGAACTCTTGGGAATAGGATTAGGACGTGGGAGGGAAGTGCTCATGGAGGGAAGATACTGAAGGAATAATCAGAAGGCTATCTAGGAAAGAAACTGAGCAAGAGTCCTTGACAGGGAACCAAAAGCAGGGGCAAGGTAGGGAACAACGTCGAAAGTTCCTGGTAGACAGGGTCAATATGTATTTATGGAATGCATTAATTGCTTGGGATGATGATAAAGATTGCCAAAAAAGGCACAAAGACAGAAACTTTGAATATGACATGGTTAGAGATCTCTAGGTTGTTTTTAAAAGCGATGGCACAGAATGAAGATGGGAGGGAGTCAAAGAACAAAGAGAGAACCTGGGGTGAGCAAGAGAAGAAAGGGATTCATTGGAAATAGAGTGATGAAGTTGACTAGTGGGTGTGTCTGGCTTTCTTTTGTTTCAGAATGGAGAAGATCAGGGAAAGTCTGAATGAAGGCCAGCAGGCAGTATCAGCCGAACCAAGAAGGGCCATAAAGCTGCAGACCAGGAAATCTGCCCTCTGAGAGCACAGAATTTAGAATGGACAGCAAATTTAGTAAAAGTAGGTGAGCATAGTATGGCTCAGCAATGACTCTCAAAATTTTCCACTGTGCACACATGATCGAGAATGTTCAAATGTTCTATGTTGTCACGGGAGTATATATTTTCTGGCAAATTAACTGTAATTACATCTCATTCTCACCCACTCACAAAAAGCCTATAAAGGTGCAAATGAGAAAGAGTGGCATTGAATCCTCTCTCATTTATACAAATCACTGGCATGCATGCGCCCCCAAACAAGAGAAAGGGAAGCTCCAAAGCTATGGATTAAGAGGATAACAAATCAGGAAAGCAGACAGAGAGGATTTTGTGTCTGAGCCATTTCAGGTTAAAAGGGAAGGGCCCTGTGGAACCTGTGGCCCAAAAGACTGTACGATGAAGAAGCTGTCAAATAAATGTGTATTGAGAAGTAAAAAAATATGTGAAAGAGAAAAACCTGAAGTGAGGGGCAAAAACTAAAGAGGACTAAGAAGATGGAGAAGATACGAACAAAAAACCAGTCAGTGTCACAGGGAAGAAATGGTGGGGAGACTGAGAATTTGGGAAGGAGTTCTAGGAGCAGAGATGGGGCAGTTTGGGTCTGCAGTGTTTCGCTGCTGGCCAGAGAGCAGGCATTGCCCCAAGATCGAGAGGCCAGGCAGGGTGGTGAGGCCAATGAGCAGGGCGGCTCATAAAAGCAGTCTTTTTGTTGTGGAGACAAGAGACTGGTGGGTCAGATAGACCAGTTTTTTCCCCTTTGTCCCCTCTCTTTGACTTTTGAAAGCTTCATGGGCAATGCGTATTTTGAAGTCTTTAAGTACCACTCAATCATAGGGGATTTTCCACAAGGACTTAAAAAAGTGCAGATTACACTGTAAAAATGCTTTTCAGTCAATAAAAGTCCGTCTTTACTAGGTAAATTTCTTTATGATGTTTAACTTTGGTTCAGGTCCTGATTCCGAGAAGTGAAATTTGGTGCAGTGAGGGGGAAAAACAACGTGGAAAGAAGAAAACCCTGCAATAGCCATTCAAAACCCCACAATCAGACCTTGTTTATGTGATATGGACTCTGAGCTTTCTCTTAAAAAATGCATGTGATTAAGAAAATACTATGAGAACTTAATAATAGTTCCCTGAAACCTGTGATCCACCTCTTATCTTTCTAACTCTTGGAAATGCAGCTAATAAGAATGTATGTTTTTACATTCATTCTGATTCATAAGAACCAGTAATACACTGATTCTTAGCAACAAAGTAGTTCTTTAATTACTACAAAACTCAATAATTCATTGCCTATTGTTGTGCATGGCACATAACATTCGGTGACTTGTATTGGCATATTCGTTTACATGTGTCACTGCTGTACCTGTAATTTAGTTTAATGCCAGATCAATGTGCCAAGTGTGTGTGTGTGTGCGCGCGTGTGTGTGTATGTGTGTGTAAAACTCTTCCCAACAGTAGTTTCATGGGAATTCTCAGTAGTAACTAAAACAGTGTCCATTTTAAGAAATCACAATCAAAGTGCCTGTTTTTTGCAGGTATTCATAATATTCTTTACCCACACTAGGGCACTGAGTGGCTCATCAACGGTTTTCCTCGTAGGAAATTATTTAATATTATCTTTTAAGAAGCGAAACACTTGGCTGAAGGAGCAATTCGTTGTCCATAATTCATTGTCCATAATTTTGCCAAGAAAGGTGTTGAATTTTGAGTTAGTTAAATCAAAATAAAAGCACAGGGCATGAAATCAGCTTGTGAGACCCAGTCAGATGGTTAATTCAGAGGAAAGACCAGATGCAGATGATCTGATTGAACTTTTCCAGTTTGAATTTTTCTCATTTCTCAGGTTGAGACATATAGTTTCCTGATCCAGGGTATCATTTCTTGGCAGAGAAACTGAGTTTTTCCCACGTGACCTACTTGCCCAAAAGGAAGATGTCCGAAAAACAGTGCATGCCATGTCCTTTCTGTATCAACATCAATCTCCATCAAAATCTTCTTGTCTCTACAGGTGTTCCAGCTAGAAGATTTGGATGAAAAGTGATTCCAAAAAAATGAGGCAATCTCATCCCGAAACTATTTAAAACTACTCTCCTCTCTCTTGATAAACCGTCAGTAGGAAGTGTGTCGTTTATTCCCTCACTCCACACTGGATTCATATGGGCTGATAGCAGCAGGATTAAAAATTTTTTTCATCATGAGTTAAATCCCTAAGATTTAGAGTATTTTGTTTGTCTGAATGTCTAAGCGGTACAAACCTTAGCAATCCATATTAAAATGGAGAATTCCTTCTTTTGGTATTCACAAGCATAACATACATAATCCTTTATCTCTGGCAAAGCTATTCACTTTTTGGCCTTTGGCTGTTCGATGTATACAGTATCTATAGTTATTGCATGCAAGAGTTCTCAACTGACTTGCAAACTCTTTGATCAAACCAGCTAAACTTGATTTTCCAGATTATTCAAGAGACAAGGCACACAACTATCAGCTTTACAAGTCCTGGCAAGCAATCAAGACCCCATGCTCCCCACTCCCTTTATCAGAATCAAAGGTAAACAGGGAGCCAGTTCTCATTTAAATATTTAGCATCAGGATCTTGCCTAGACTTTCAGGGTTGTAGGAGCAGAAGAAAAACAACAGTTGCAGTGAGAAAAAGGTTTCTTTGGCATGGATGCCAAACTAAATAATGACACCCAAAGCAAAAACATGCTTCATTGAAACTTGACTTTAGTCGATTCAGCCTACTTAAAACAAAGCTTTTTTTGTCATTTCAAAAGTGAACATTGTACTTTGCTCTGGCAGCCATTTATACGTTTTTGAATGATTCGCTTATACATAAATCCCTGGCCTCCAGGCCTTTCAGCACCTCAAATCCGAGTGATTTGAAAACACAACTGAAAATTTCTGTATACAGCGCCTGCCCTTTTCTTCCTCTTAACCTTTTATGCCATCCATTCTGAGTGACAATGTTTTGACATACATTGTCATGGCGCATTTCTCCCTGCTCCCGCTTTTATTCCTTTGGAAGTATTTACAAGAGATCAAGGACTGTATTTCCTTTTCCTGAGGAGCATGGTTCTTCATCACCCCCTCATGTATTTCTTTCTCCGTGGATGCCACCATTCTATCGACTTCACTAAGGCAGAATTATTGGAAGACATCATTTGTGACCACCTTTGTAATTTGTGCAATCTGTAGTAGGAAGGCAACCAACGAAAATCAGATTTCATTTTTTTTTTAAACTAAAGTAGCAATGTCAAAGCCTTTATTCAAACACTGATAAGTCTGCTTGGTTAGTGAGCAGCTGATGGGACTAGCAGAGTATAAATGGTACTAGTTTGAGAACGTGTGGTGGTTTGGAAGGAGTTGAGGAAGCAGAGGAACATTTTCTTAGCCCCTCTTTTCTTTGGAGGAGTTCAAAACTAGCACTGCTGGCATACTCTTTGGTGAAAGTGCCCTTCTAGAGGCAGGAGTTCTTGGTACATCCTGAATTAGGTCTCAGCACATTTTCCAGTTGACTTCTTTTTCTTCTTCTTCTTCTAAAATTGGAGGTGGATGACCCTATCATTTTGGCTAAATTTCTAAATGTGCCATTGCCTTCTGCATCTCAGAAGTTTTCACAGATGTTAACAGAATACTTTCCTTACCTCGCTATGGCATCATCTGTTAGCTCTTGTTTGGCACTGCAGTGCAAGTTAATTGGGGGTTGCCTCTTGCATTACAACCATACAGGTGTGACTGACAAGCATGGTGAAGTCAGAAGTGACACTTTCTACTAGGGTAGATCCCCCTAGGGGACTGTAGGAATGGAGTCAAATTCTCTACAAGCTGCTCCAATGCCCCAGTGTAGACATAAATTGATCTCTTAAAGTCAATTCTGGGATAGGGTAAGTCCAGCAACCATTATGGGACTTCCTTGAAAAGTCATTATTGCTAAGACCTACCTTTTAGAATAGATAAATATATTTAAAGATAGAAAATTCTTGTGGCTCTCAGCAGCTGTTGACCCTGTTGCTTACTTTATCTATATATATGTGTGTGTGTGTAAAACTGCACTCTTCTTTTTTTTTAACCCGCCCCTCTGACAACTTCTTCCTAGTCTCCTTTGCTCTTTCCACTTGTTCTAGAAGTGCCAGCCAGATAACATTATTTACTAGTAGAGTTTCAATTGCCGGCTCTATGGTAATGATTCTTTAATCTTGAGGCAACACTGTTCTTTAGGATTTTAGAGTCCTTTATTCAACTAATAGCTAGGTATCTGCACTCAGATGTCCCCCAGATACCTCAAACTCAACCTGTCCAACACTGTCATTGGGTACACAACTGCTTCTGTTCTGTGGCCTGTGACCTGCATCTCCACGAATAGCACCATATTTACCATGTTTGTTTAAGCCATAAACCCAAGAGCCCTTCTGATTATTTCTCTTTACTGACCTCATACATCTAATCAAACGAGGTCCTACTGACTCTGTGTGTCTAAAATTTCTTAGATCTGCCCATTTCACTCCATCCCCTTTGGCACTTGCAGTGCATAGCTCTGTACCACCTCCTGCCTGGGTTACTATTTGGGCTTCTTGTTCTTGACCTTGGAGATAGACCTTTCTGGACTATAAGCCAAACCTGCCCTTCTCTTTAAAGCCATCAATAGCTCCCCCTTTCTCTTCAGATAAAATCTAAGCCTCTTTACATAGCCTGTATAATCTTATACTTTTTATACCTCTCCCACCCTATCTCTTTACTCTTCACTTCTTGAATGCTAGCCTTCAGATACTGACTTTCAGTTCTTTCAAATGCTCTTTAACTTCTGTATCTTCCCTCATGCTGTTTGTAGCCTTTTGCCTGGTTCTATTTGCTCTCCCTTATACCGGGATGATGCCACTCAACTTTTAAGTCTCCTTTAGACATGGCTATTTTTAGGAATCCTTCTTCAACGTCCCAACTCTGGGTTATAGTGCCTCCTATTGCCCCTCTACACTCCTGCACATAACACTTACCTGTGGATTTGATTGTCTCTTTTAAGAGTTTCTATTTTTCACTCTCCCATAAGTTCTGTAAGGCCAGTGACTTGGCAAATGTCCAGTATGTAATAGGCAGTTAATAAATAGTGGCCAGGTGCAGTGGCTTATGCCTGTAATCCCAGCACTTTGGGAGGACAAGGCGGGTGGATCACAAGGTCAAGAGATTGAGACCATCCTGGCCAACATGGTGAAAACCCGTCTCTACTAAAAATACAAAAATTAGCTGGGCGTGGTGGCACGCACCTGTAGTCCCAGCTACTCAGGAGACTGAGGCAGGAGAATCGCTTGAACCTGGGAGGCAGAGGTTGCAGCGAGCTGAGATCATGCCACTGCACTCCAGCCTGGCAACAGAGCAAGACTCAGTCTCAATAAATACATACATAAATAAATAAAATAAAAATAAATACAAAATAAATAGTTTGTGGAAAAAAAGAACAAATGAATGCATCAAAACAGAGTTTGTCAATACTAGCAGGCCCTCCTTGCTTGATGAGGCAGATAATGTGCCTCCTTCATTTTATATTCCCAAATCTGTTGCTGTTAGAATCATATTTAATTGAGTAGGGAGAGAAGGTCAAGGCAACATGAGGGTTTGCAGGGTCCTTAGGTATTATATTCATTTTATAGATGAAATAGGTAAGGCCCAGGGAGATTAAATCACTCATTATCATCCCATAGGATTACTCCTGTGACTCCCAGCCCAGCATCCTCTTTCCTCAGCCTTTTAAATTTCTGCCACCTTGATATGTATGAAATAGCAGCTCGCCTTGGGGTTTCTTTGTTTTAATTTGAATTACCCTGATTACTTCTGAGTTGAACATATTTCACACACACACACACACACACACACACACACACACACACGCACACACACATATATATATATATATATATATATATATATATATATATTTAGATGGAGTCTTGCTCTGTCACCCAGGCTAGAGTGCAGTGGTGTGATCTCAGCTCACTGCAACTTCCGCCTCCCAGGTTCAAGCAATTCTCCTGCCTCAGCCTCCGCAGTAGCTGGGATTACAGGTGCATGCTACCACACCAGCTAATTTTTGTATTTTTAATAGAGATGGGGTTTCACCATCTTGGCCAGGCTGGTCCCAAACTCCTGACCTCAGGTGATCCCCCTTGGCCTTGGCCTCCCAAAGTGCTGGGATTACAGGCGTAAGCCACTGTGGCTGGCCCCGTATTTCTAATATTTAACAGCAAATTGGGGTTTCTCTTTTTTTTGGTTGCCTGTTTATATCCTTTGTCCATTTTTTATTGGATCATTTATTTTTCTTACACATTTTAAGGCATTGTTTATATATATTCTGTATACTAATTCTTTGTTGTTTACATGACTTGCAAATATCTAGCAAATGTGCAGATTTTATAACCTGTGATCCAGCATTCTATGCTTAGGCATATACCCTGGAGAAAAACTCTCTCACACATGCCCAAGGAGCTATTTAGGAGGGTGTTTCCTGTGGTGCTATTTGTAAAAGCACAAAAAGTGAACTAGCCTAAATGTACATTCAGTGAGTGAATGACTCATCAAATTATGGTATATTCACATAATGGAAATAAGAGGTTAAATGAATAAACTGGCTCTACATGTTATTAACAGAGATGATGCCAGAAAATATTATATTGGCCAAAAATGCAAATAAAAAATCAATACATACAGTATTGGATATATACAAGTTTTAAACGTCCCACAAAATAATTCTAAATAATATTTATGGGTAAATACATATAAGGCAAAAGCAAAAACCACACAGTGCAGAACAGTGTTTGCTTCTAGGGAAGAAGATGGAGTAAAGGTAGAATATTCAACTGGATCTGCAGCACTTCTTTAAAAGAGATTAGTGAAAAACACCAAAATATTCAAAATATTAGCATGTGTTAAAAGAGTTGTGGGTAAATGCATGCCTGTTATATTAGTCTCTGTAGTGTTTGGTATGTTTGAAATATTTTCTAATTAAAGGGAAAAAAGGCAAAGAAGGTATGCCAGAACTTTCTTCCAGGCAGACATGGCAGAATATGCACATCTTTGAGGCCTGGGAGAACATGATCCATCTGAGAAATTATAGAAGGAGTGAAGGGTTCCAGTGATGGAGGAAGGTTCTGGTGAAGTAGGTGGTCGGAGAAAGGCAGATCATGAAATACCCTGCTAGCTGACCCAGGGTTGGGAACAGTTGTCAGACTATGAACATTATAATTCCTGGAAGGAGAAATACATCAGTGGAAATAACAAGCTTCCATTAAACCTTTAAATTTATTCATGTTAACCAATTATAGGAGCTTTAAATAACTCAAAATGTCTGTAGTCTGATGCCTTCTCTTAGTCATAAGGAAAATGAGGCCCAGAAAAATGAAAACATAAGGAAAAGGGAGAGCATTTTGCATAAGAACATTGAGATACAACTAACCCAGTGATTCTGTATATTTACATTGGCTGACCTGTTCACTGATATGACAGCTAACAATACTGTAGATATAGTAGGTTTTTGAGACAATGGTACAGAGGATAGATACATTTTGATTAGGAGATACGGACATTGGTTTGACTAATAAGACATAACAATGCAGACTTCTGGGCATCAAACAGGTAACACAAAGTGGGCTATTCCTGTTATATGGAGATAATGCAGAGGCTCCTAGGGAGAGATTGGAGTTAAACTGCTGCCACCTCACAGTTGTGCCAGGATGGGCTGATCAATATCTTGCTGGGATCTCCCAGGCTTTTATGGCTCCTATAAAGACTGTCTTATTAGGTAGCCCAAGGCCAAGAGATAACTGTAAGAATCTTCTATGAAGGTTTACAACAGTGATCTAAGGTCACCACCACTAAGGTAGGTCTCTGTGAGTTTTTTCAAGGACTTTCTTCGGTTGTGGGCAAGATGTGAGGCCTAGAAAGCCCCAGGGCATCTGCCTGAGGATCACTGTCAGGTCTCACTTTGGTAAAGATAAAGGAGGCGGCAGAATGCAGTGTGAACCACTCTGTCCAAAGTAGCTCATCTATCAGCTCTCCCATCATAGCTGATCTCACATTTCCCCAGTAAGAAATACTGATTTATGAGGCTGGGCATGGTGGCTCACACCTATAATCCCAACGCTTTGGGAGGCCGGAATGGGAGGATCCATTGAGCCCAGGAGTTCAAGATCACCCTGAGAAACATAGGGAAACCTTGTTTCTACAAAAAATAAGTTAGCTGGGCATTGTCGCATGCACCTGTAGTCTCAGCTATGCAAGAGGCTGAGGTGGGAGGTTAGCTTGAACACAGGAGGTCAAGGTTCCAGTGAACCTTGATCATGCCACTGCAATCCAGCCTGGGCAATAGAGTGAGACCCTGTCTCAAAAAAAAAATTACCAAAATACTGATTTATGGACACCAGAGGGGCTTGATGCCTCCTTTGACATGAACAAATGGGGTTGTTCAGAGAAGAGGTTCTTCTGAAGATATCACTAGAAGCTTTTATTCCACAGGCATATCAATACTACAATGAATTTATTAGATTAGCTAATTGCATCTTTAAAAAGAATAGGGAGCTTTGTCCTCAAGAGGTGAGATGGAAGACTGGCAGGTTTCAGCATGTTGATGATAGGCTAGACTAAATAAAAACATCAGAGCCTTAAACATCTCTTGGCTAACTCCCACTCAGACATTTTCAGGTTAGTTTCCTCTATCTTACAGGTCCTCATAAGTGTAACACTTATGAATATTTTAATAAAAACTCATTTGTGTGATTTGTGTTTAATGTTTGTCTTTCTAGATAGCCTGCAAACTTCACGAGTAGAGGGACCGCATCTTTTATTGTTTACGACAGAGTGTCCAATCTTTTGTCTTCCTGGGCCACACTGGAAGAAGAATTGTCTTGGGCCACACATAAAATACACCAACACTAACCATAGCTGATGAGTTAAAAAAATTGCAAAAAAAAATCTCATAATGTTTTAAGAAAGTTTAGGAATTTGTGTTGGGCCACATTCAAAGCTGTCCTGGGCCACATGTGGCACACGGTCTGTGGGTCGGACAAGTTTGGACAATATCCCAGAGCCTAGCCTGGTGTCTAGTTTATAGTAGGGGCTCAGCATATACATGTTGAATATATATGTGAGTAAATGAGTGAATAAACATAAGAAAATGAGTGAATTAAAAATGAGCAAATCAATGGATGGTACTGGTAGAGCAGCAAGAATACTAATGAGAAGGGTAGCCCACATAGGCCACCATGAGTGAGGTCCTGCCCTTCAAGCAATCAACATGAGATAGGGCCAGGAGTAGCAAATGTTTTAGGGTCAGTAAGGAAAAGTTCCCAAGCAATGGGGGAATCCAGAAGCTGTTTCTGGGAATAAAGAACATAAGTTATCCCTGGAGGTGTTCCAAAGTTAAATTTGACCTGTTTGTTAATTTTCCTTGTGTTGACCACATCAGAATACACTGAACGATTACTGCAATGTCATCCCACAACCTCAAAAGACAGTATGTAGAGAAGGGCCATGACAGCATCTCTTTAAATATGTATTTAGTCATTATAGAGTTTGTAAGTTCTGGACTCTGATAATCCTCAAACTCTTCACACAATTGTTTGTTGTAACTGATGTCATCTTTTATGCTTAATTGAACTACTTGTTCTTAAGATGACTCAGGACACAAAGACATTGGATACATATGAAATATTGCCATACCATAACCATTTGATTCTTGATGACTTACCTTAAAGAATAGTGTATTACTTCCACTTTCCCATGACATTTAAATCTTGGCTTATGAGATTCCTAGGAAAGGAAGTACAAAAAGATCCAGAACAAATCAGAATTCAGTTGTCTGTGTGATCTAGCTGCCCCTCCCATTACCTTTAAGCTATACGTAGATGGGCCAAAAATGTAGAAGTCTTACAGGATATAAAATATTTTATCTTTTGTTCTGGGCTAATAAATAGAGATATCAATTTCATGGTGATCGTCACTGATCTTTACTTTAAAAACTGATAATTCATTTTTTGGTTCAAGGTAGACTAATAACTGTGATATCATTGCTCTTTTTGAGCATGTCGCTCATACACATAGGCTCAAGGAAGAGTCATAATTAGGCTGGAATTTTATATACTGCTTCTGCAATAAGGGGATATCGTTAGTATTTTCAAAAATATAATCTCTTTAGCTTTTGTTCAAATATGATTCAAATTTTAAAAAGTAAGACTTTATTTTTAAGAGCAGTTTTAGGTTTCTGGGGAAATTAAGCAGAAAGAGAGTTTCCAGTACTTCCTCTATCCCCAACACCACACTTTCCCCATTATTAAAATTTTGTTTTAGGGTGGTACATTTTTACAGCTGATGAACCAATATTGATATCTTATTAAAGTTCATAGTTGACACTAGTTTTTCTCTCTGTGTTGTCTAATTTTATGGGTTTTGACAGTTATGTAATGCCATGTATCCACCATTATACATAATAAAAACTGTCCTAAAATTTATTGTGCTCCACCTATTTATCTCTCCCTCCTCTCAACCTCTCAATGATTTAATTTGTAAAAAATTATAGACATGTGCAAACTACCATGGAGGTCTCTACGTGGGATTCAAGTCATGTTCCTTTAGTTATTATCATGTTTCTGGCATTATTCTATTTTGCTGTAAAATTAGCCAGGGCTTCCACTGGACCACTAGGAGATTTGTCAACTTTATGTTAAAAACATTTTGCTTCTTGCCAACCTAAAAGACCTGCCTTAGAGAGAGAAATAAGGTGTTAGGGACTTGGTAACCATGGCCCAGGAAGAGTTCTGGGGCAACATAAGAGCAAGTCCCATAAAAGGCTCCCAGCATCTCTCCTTCTGCAAATGTGGTGCTGAAACCAAAGTTGACTATATTTAAGTTATGTTCTTCATGCAGTAGGATGTTCTGCGGCTTCAGGTCCCAGTTCACGATTTTCTTTCTGTAGCTGTACTGGAGGGTGGACGGTGTCTGCTTAAACATGGCCCGGGCCTTCTTGTCATCTTTGATGTGGCTGTGATGGTGTATTTGGTGGAAAAGCACTCCTTCGAGGGCATATTCCATCACTAAATAGGG